>NC_000001.11:238759879-238911394 GCF_000001405.40 Homo sapiens
CTGCACTCCAGCCTAGGTGACAGAGTGAGACTCCGTCTCAAAAAAAACAAAAAAACAAAAAACTGGAATGGAACTAATAAAAACAAAGATGTCCTCAAATACACAATTAGGAAATTCAAATTTAAACAAGTAATTGTAATTCCTTCCTCAGTTTGAGCAAAGCTGAAAGATCTGATGACACCAAAATAGTATGAATATAATGTGATATTGTTTCTTTTTCTTGTCCATACACACACAGAAATATGGCTATATCAGAACTGGTAGTTCATAAATCCTTTGTTGTCATTTCAACTGCCTTATTTACATTTAGGTTAGATTTTTTAAAAGTACGGGCCAGTCCTTTTTTCCTCAGGTATTTCTGGCTTTTAAAACTTAAAAATCACAAAAAATATAAAACATACGCCTACAGAATATCATCTTTCTGTACTTAATACATTGCATTATAATTCAAAACATTTTCAAAAGTTTCACAACTCCCTGTTTATCATTCTACAAACGAGAAATATGTAGATATTTGAAGACATGTCTTGATTCATTTATTTATTCAAATTTAATATATCCAGGGATAAAGTATATGCCCCTTTCGAGTTTTAGTTCATCTTTTTCCTGTCTCATTAAAATGTTCGAAAAAACATTGTATACCTGCAGCCATCATTAATTTACTTCTTTATCTTTCATGATCTTTATAAGACTACATCCTGTGCTTATCAGATTAATCACAGGAAAATATCTGCAGGCACACCTTGGAGATTGTATTAGTCCGTTTTCATACTGCTGATAAAGACATACCCAAGACTGGGTGATTTATAAAGAAAAAGAGGTTTAATGGATTCACAATTCCAACTGGCTGAGGAGGCCTCACAATCATAGTGGAAGGGAGAATGTACCTCTAACATGGCTGCAGACAAGAGAGAGAATGAGGGCCACGTGAAAAGGAAAGGCCCTTATAAAACCATCAGATCTTGTGAGACTTATTCACCACCACGAGAACAGTATGGGGGAAACCACCACCATGATTCAGTTATCTCCCACTGGATCCCTCCCACAACACATGGAAATTATGGGAGCTACAATTCAAGATAAGATTTGGGTGGCGATTCAGCTAAACCATATCAGAAATATTGTGGGTTCTGTTCCAGACCACTCCAATAAAGCAAGGATCACAATAAAGTGAGTCCTGTGAAGTTTTTTTCGGTTTCCCAGTGCATATGAAAGTTATATTTATACTACCTGGTAGTTTATTAAGAGTGCAATACCATTATGTCTAAAAAAAGTACATACTTAGATTTAAAAATACTTTATTGCTGAAAAATGCTAACAATAATCTTAGCCTTCAGTGACTTCTACTCTTTCCGCTGGTGGAGAGTCTGCCTCTATGTTGATGGCTAATGATTAATTAGGGTGGTGGTTGCTGAAGGCGGGGTGGCTGTGACAATTTCTTAAAATAAGACAATGAAATTTACAGCATTCACTCTGCCTTTGATGAGAGGTTTCTCTGTAACGTGCAATGCTGTTTGATAGCGTTTTATCCACAGTAGATCTTCTTTCAAAATGGGAGTCAATCTTGACTCCAGACCCTCCCATGGCTTTATCAACTAAGTTTCTGTAATATTCTAAATCTTTTGTTGTCATTTTAACTATGTTCATGGCATTTTCACCAAGAGTAGATTCTATATCAAGAAACCACTTTCTTTGTTCATCCATAAGAAGAAACTCTTCATTCAATAAATTTTATCATGAGATTGTAGCAATTCAGTCACATTTTAGGCTTCACTTCTAACTCTTGCTCTCTTGCTAGTTTCACCCCGTCTGCTGTTATTTCTTCCACTAAAGTCTTCAAGCTCTCAAAGTCATCCATGAGGGTTGGAATAAATGTCTTCTGAACTTCTTCTAATGTTCATATTTTGACCTCCCCCCATGAATCGTAAATGTGCTACATGGTGTCTAGAATGTTAACTCCTTTCCAGAAGGTTTTCAATTTACTTTGCACAGACCCATCAGAGGAATCATAATCTATGGCAGCTATAGCCTGAAAAAAAAATGTATTTCTTTAATACTAATACTTGAAAATTAAAATGACTCTTTGATACGTGGGCTGTAGAATGGATGTTATGTTATCAGGCATGAAAACATTTGTCTCCTTATACATCTCCATCAGAGCTCTTGGGTGACCAGGTGCAGGGTAAGTGAGCTGTAATATTTTGAAAGGAATCTTTTTTTCTGAGCAGTAGGTCTCAGCAGTGGGCTTAAAATATTCAATAAACCAATGTGTAAACAGATGTGCTATCATCCAGGCTTTATTGTTCCACTTACAGAGCACAGGCAGAGTGGGTTTAGCATATCTCTGAATGGCCATAGGATTTTCAAAATAGTAAATGAGCATTGGCTTCAACTTAAAGTTACCAGCTGAATCGATGAAGGGGTGGCCTGCCCCTCCACACCTGTGGGTATTTCTCATCAGGTGGGATGAGAGACTGAGAAAAGAAATAAGACACAAAGTATAGAGAAAGAACAGTGGGCCCAGGAGACCGGCACTCTGCATACAGAGGACCTGCACCAGCACCAGTCTCTGAGTTCCCTCAGTATTGATTGATTACTATTTTCACTATCTCGGCAAGGGGAATGCCTCAGGAGAACAGGGTGATAGTGGGGAGAAGGTCAGCAGGAAAACACATGAGCAAAGAAATCTACGTCACAAATAAGTTCAAGGGAAGGTACTATGTCTGGATGTGCACGTAGGCCAGATTTATGCTTCTCTCCACCCAAACATCTCAGTGTAGCAAAGAGTAACAGAGCAGCATTGCTGCCAGCATATCTCGCCTCCAGCCACAGGGCGGTTTTCTCCTATCTCAGAATAGAATGAATGTACGATCGGGTTTTGCACTGAGACATTCTGTTCCCAGGGACATGCAGGAGATGGAGGCCTTCCTCTTATCTCAACTGCAAGAGGCCTTCCTCTTTTACTAATCCTCCTCAGCACAGACCCTTTATGGGTGTTGGGCTGGGGGTCAGTCAGGTCTTTCCCTTCCCACAGGGCCACATCTCAGGCTGTCTCAATGGGGGGAAACCTTGGACAATACCCAGACTTTCTTGGGCAGAGGTCCCCACAGCTTTCTGCAGTGCATTGTGCCCCTGGTTAATCGAGAATGGAGAATGGCGATGACTTTTACCAAGCATACTGCCTGCAAACATATTGTTAACAAGGCATATCCTGCACAGTCCTAGATCCCTTAAACCTTGATTCCATACAGCACATGTTTCTGTGAGCACAGGGTTGGGGCTAAAGTTACGGATTAACAGCATCTCAAGGCAAAACAATTTTCTTAGTACAGATCAAAATGTAGTTTCTTATGTCTTCCTTTTCTACATAGACACAGTAACAGTCTGATCTCTCTTTCTTTTCCCTACATATCCCCCTTTTCTTTTTGACAAAACTGACATCGTCATTATGGCCCATTCTCACTGGTCGCTGTCTCTTCGGAGCTGCTGGATACACCTGTAGACTAACAACAGACAGAACAGGCATACAAGGATTAGTATGAAATTTACAATAGTGGAACTTCTGATGGTTTTAACCCAAGTGACCAGGTTAAGATTTGCAAGGCCATCAGCAGCTTTCACAATTGCCTCAGTTCCTGACACGAAATTTAAATGGGCTTTGGATGCCTCAAAAATTTGTTCTTTTAATTTTGAAATGTCTAAAGTAAGATTATCTTCTCTTTCTTGTAGTTGATGTCTAACCATGTCCCAGTGATGCTCAGACTCATTATAGGCTTGGGGTGTAATACAAAAATCTGACGTATTCCAGTCACACTGTAACTGAAAAAGATATTCCAAGCTCATGGGCCTATCTCCCATCCAAATGACAGTTTGTCTAAGATCATTAGTTTGGTTTGCCAATTTTTGATGTATTTGGGTCAGAATTCCACAATTTTGAGGAATTCTTTTGCCAATTATTTACATATTCTGCAGTTTGAAGAGAGGAGTGCAAAGCAATTCCAGCAGCCGCAGCAGTAGCTGCGACTGCAATAAGGCCCGTAATTACTGCAATCAAAGTAAAAATGAATCTTTTGGATCTAGTTAGAATTCCTTTTAATACTTCCATTAAAATATGGACAGATGGGGAAGCCTCCCACGGGTGGTCCGTGGACACAGGGATCCACACGCCCTCTCTTGCTCTCACTTGTAGAATATGGTGCTGCCAATTAAAAGTTGAATCAATGTAAGTAAACAATCTACAATTTTCACAGGTTATAGTTTGGGAATCTGGTTTAATAACTATGTTTCCTACAACTAGCATATAAGAGGGTTTTACACAACTTTGCAAAGGAATTGTCAGACTGGAATTTAGGTTGATAGTATAATATGGCTTACGATCTCTTGTTCCTATAGCTTGATTTCCAGACCAAATTCTAATGTGGTGCAAGGCCACAGTAAGCTTCCATAATTCTGGGTGTTCAGGACCAGTAACAGGACTAACTAACTTTGGTTAAGGTGATGAAATTCCCTTTTCACCCCATTTCCTATGGATAGGGTGATTCTAACCTTCTATAAATCTGGCCATCTTTCAGTTAAATCACTATCATAGGCTGGATGAATGGGCCAGATGGACGGGACCTGAGAACCTGAGCGAGTCTCTACCAATAGGATCAGGCTGTCCTTCGAAGCTTTGAAGACAGACCTTGATTTCTATCTAGTTATGAAAGTTCTAGATGGCATCTTCTACATTTAGAAAATATAAACTTTCTACATTGAAAATCTGTTGTTTAGTGTAGCCACTTTAATCAATTCTCTAAGCCAGATCTTCTGGATAATTTGCTGCAGCTTCTCCCTTGCTTCTTCACCTTGCATTTCTATGTTATGGAGGTGGATTTTTTTCCTTAAAGCTCATGAACCAACCCCTGCTAGCTTCAAACTCTTCTCCTGCAGCTTTGTTACCTCTCTCAGCTTTCATAGAATTGAAAAGAGTTAGAACCTTGCTCTGGACTAGACTTTGGCTTAAGGGAATGTCGTGGCTGCTTTGATCTACTCTCCAGACCACTATAACTTTCTCCACATCAGTAATGTTGGAAACAAATGCACAGTGCTGCAAAGAAGAACCAGTACTGAGATAAAGGATTTCTCAGCAAGGCAAATTTACTTCTGCAGAAGGGTGCTGCCTGCATCAGTCATGATCACAAGAGCACACAGAACAAAGGAGAGTAGGAGTTTTTATTCCTAATGCAGATTCTACCTCTGTATCTTTCCCCCATTGGCTGGGGTTGGACCACAGACTCTAAACTAGTCCCGATTGGCTAATCACTTAAACTTTCTTGGATAAGGCATGTGTGTGATAGAGGAGAGAGGGAGAGGAGGAAGAGGTCACCTGTGGGGGACTAGAAAGCTAACCTATTCCACATAAGAAAAGAAATGTGGACTGGGGCTTATCATGTGTAAGCGTGTTTAGACAGGTTACTGTGCAGCAAAAGCTGGGGGTGGGGGGTACTTGGAATTTAGAGAATAAAGAACAGGGGAATTGAACAAACTGTTTGAATAGGAATCTAGCTGTATCTAACAAATAATAATTCTGTTTTGATTTCTTATCATTCATGTGTTAACTGTGATAGCAATTTTAATTTCTTTCAGGAACTTTTCCTTTACACTTACAACCTGGCTAATTGTTTGGAAAGAGAGACCTAGCTATTGGTCTGTCTTGGCTTTCAACATGCCTTCTTCACTAAGCTTCATCATTTGCAGCTTTTGACTTCAAGTGAGAGATGTGTGACACATCCTTTCACCTTTACACTAAGAGGTCATTTAAGGGCTATTAGTTAACCTGATTTCAATATTGTTGCATCTCAGGGAATAGGGTGTCCTGTGGAGAGGGAAGAGACAGGATAATGGTTGGTTGGTGGAACAGTCAGAATACACACAAAATTTATGGAGTATGCTCTCTGTTTTATATGGGTGTGGTTTGTTGCATCCCAAAAACAATTACAAGAATAACATCAGAAATCACAAATCATGGATCACCATAACAGATATAACAATAATTAAAAAGTTTGAAATATTGTGAGAATTACCACAATCTGACATAGCGACATGAAGTAAGCACACATTACTAGAAAAATGGCACCGATGGATTTGCTGGTTGCAGGGGTGCCACAAACCTTCAATTTGCAAAATATGCAATATTCATGATGCACAGTAAAGTGAAGCACAATGAAATGAAATAACAACAAAAATATCAATTTTCTATTGTCACCTTAATGATTTACAGGTTGAGACCAGGTGTGTTAGCTTATGCCTCTAATTCCAGTGCTTTGGGAGGCTGAGATGGGAGGATCACTGGAGGCTAAAATTCAAGATCAGCTTGGGCAATCCATCTGTCATTAAAAATAAATTAAAAATTAGCATGGTACACCCTGAAAGAGTCTTTAGCATAAAATAAAGAGGAAAGCTGAAGACATTCCCTCAAGGAAGATCAATATTTAGGGACACTAAAAGAAAAGATAGAAAAAGTTATACTGAATGACTAGGAAAATGTGGTACAATGAAAACCAAGACCTGAAGTTAACATAGTTGTTGAGCTGACACAAAAGTACACTCTAGATGGAGGACCAGCATGTAGAATTTGATATAGAAAGGATGAGATGTGTGCAGTGCCACATGCCAATGGCAGTGGGTGTTTCTAGGATATCAAGATTCCCTCTCGGATTTCCTTCTTTACTTCAAATTGTTTATGCTCCATTTCTACAAGATGTGGTTCCAAATTCTCAGCCTCTATGCATTATTCTCTTTTCCTGGCATTACACCTACCTCATATGGGATTGCTTTGCAATGTAGCCACACTCTTCTCTTACCTACCCAAAGAGACAGACAATATAGCACTTTACAATTACAAAAGGGTTGAAAAAACAATCTCAAATATCAAAATAATCTCTCCTCAACTGTATTCTCTCTAGTTATCATTCTCTCTTTTCAAGAATGCTGTTTATTTATTGAATCATTTCCCTTATTTATCCTTTGTATTATCCATATATGTATTATATTTAAAAATTAATAATTTTTTTACATTGAAACTAGAAATTCTAAACTAGGAATTTTTCTTACAAGCATTGAAGAGTAGGGTGATTATTTGGAGCAAGCTTTTCCTTTTATAGTTTTCAACAAACTGATACCGTTAACTAGTCATATCATTATACATCATTATCTATAAAAGACTTAGTTCCTATCTTAAAGGCCTTAAGTCCAAAATTGCAATGAATATTCAATTGTCAGATTATTTTATCATTACTTTTCTTCACTAATACAGTAAATCAAGTACTGAGCATAAAGGTAATTTGAAAGCTTTTCTTCTTTTAGTTTGAATAGGACATTTCTGCCATGTATGTGCTAAGGCCTATCTTGCTTTATATATGAAAATTAGTAAAGTTGCCTATGCAATGACACGAACCCATGGCATGTCATGCTGTGGAAATACTGGCTTCCAACAATTTCATTTTCTCCTTGAGAACAGAAAAATGGATCTTCAAACAACCACAATAATGAGGAGTTCTGCTAACGGGTTTCTGCCAAGGCTTGCTTTATTTCAAAATTCTTCCTGATTACACCGAGTTCTTCACAGGATGAGCCATCTGGCAATTTTTCTGAATTTCTCACTAGGATGATGGCAGAAATTGAGAGCAGAGCCAATTCTCAGAGAATACAAAGGAAGAATGTCTAGATTGCCATGGCAGATTTTTACATCAATGCCAAGAATCTCTGCACAAATGCCAGGTAGGATATTACCACTGAAATCTGATTGAACTGTCCAGGGACATCTGACTCTGCATTTACTAATTATGCTTTTGCTAATTGAAATTTGCAAATCACCCTCCTCTGCAAAATTTTTTAAAAACTGCACCTTCACCATACAGATTTGCAAAACCAAAATATTGCTATTAACACATTTATATTTAAAGTGACACTAAGCTCTTTTGTGGAACTCAAAATCTAGGATGACTAATTTTATCAATATAACATGGGTTTAAGTAAGAATAACACCAGGGCAATATAATGAATAGATACAATATGATAACCTGTTGCAAAGACTAAGGCTAGTACTTCATTTTTAGATGGATTTCTATGAAGAAAATAGATAATAAAATTAACATCACTTTTCCTTTTTTTTTTTTTTTTTTTTTGAGACGGAGTCTCACTCTGTCACCAAGCTGGAGTGCAGTGGCACGATCTCAGCTCACTGCAACCTCTGCCTCCTGGGTTCAAGTGATTCTCCTGCCTCAGCCTCCCAAGTAGCTGGGATTACAGGCACGTGCCACCATGCCCAGCTAATTCTTGTATTTTTAGTAGAGACAGAGTTTCACCATGTTGGCCAGGATGGTCTCGATCTCCTGACCTCATGATCTGCCCGCCTTGGCCTCCCAAAGTGCTGGGATTACAGGTGTGAGCCACCATACCCGACCTAACATGGCTTTTTCAAACATTCAGAAGTAATATAGTTTATACTTTATCCAGATTCCATAAGCTCTTGATAATAAATGGAAATAATTGATTTTTGTCTCCAATTAAAATGTTGAAATAAGTGTAGTAGCTGTATTTTGCATTTTTTTTCCTAATTCATGTCTAGGAATTGTATTCAGTCCTCATTCAGCATACATTTATTGATGTCTACTGTGTGCCAGGTATTGGGAGTTTCTATGAGTACAAAGAGTAATAAAACAGAATTCTGACCACAAAATTTCAGAAACCAGCATGGAAGACAGAGAAATGAATAAAATGAATGTAAATAGTAGATCTTTACTATCTTTAGAGAAAAATATATTTAAACATGCAGTCTTCATTTGGTTGTCAATATCCTTGGTTTCTTAGCTGTTGAATTTCGTGAAGATACACATTCTACCAGACCTGAGGGTCTTTGAGACTAGCTATTATATTTTAGGTTTATGCTTAATTAATAATTTTTTACTAAATATTAATGAATAAAAATAGCTTTGGAGGACAAATTATTAGCTCTTATTAATTTTTGTAGAATTATATATTCCCATTTTATGATAGCTTTGGGAGAGCTAAGAGTAATAGCTCTGAAATTCAATATCTAGCTTGCATATTACTGCTATAGGCATTCATGATTTTCCTCTCAGCCATCAGCAGGGGTAAGGGCGTTGGAGAAAGGTGTCCTCTTGTGATTACAACATGGCTGTAGCAGCTCCAGGAATTATATTAACCTATGACACATTCAGAAAAAAGGGACCATTTGTTACATTGCATCAGTTTAGGAATAAGTAAACTTCTTCTAGACTCCTTATTGGACATATCTTTCTGTCTCACTGGTCAGGATTTCATCACATCCAACTCCCTAAACCAATCACTGCATTTGTCTCAGTGAGCTAGATTCCTAGATTTATAAGCTAGGGTGATGTGGATGCTTGAGGTTTAATCATTTTGACTGACTTGGGGCTACATTTCAATCATTTTGATTCATTCAGAGATATACTCATAGACTAGGGATTTTCATGGTAAGAAGCTCAATCTAATGGAGATTTGATGTGCACCAGTTTGGTGGAATGACCACGTTTAAACTCAGAGGGAATGGTTTACATTTGTATATAACACAGTACATATTACTTGGAGAATCTATTAGTCCAGCTTCCACAAACCAGGGGAAGCTTCAGGAAGAAAATAATCTTATTGCTGATATCTTTAAGATCCTGTCTGAGCCCTGACAAACACAGGAAGACTGTGGATTAGAATGAAGACTCACATGGTTTGAATGGGAGGTATCTTCCAATGCAGATAGTTGAAACCTATTGGGTAATGAAGGAGGAGTTTGCATCAGAAGAAACAGCGATACATATGAACATCACTGATTAAAAAAAAAAAAACAAACAAGACCACAACAACAACAAAACATGTTTGACAGTATATGTGGGAAACTTAGAAATTACCTGAACATAATTTAGAAAGTTTTTTAGATCTGGACAAGGTCAGAAAAAACATTGACTCTATTATTGTTATTAAAATAATGTGTCTTATCATGATTTTTGGTCTGGCAAAATATGAGTTAAATAGAGTAATTAGTAAAGCAGTTTTTTAAAGGAATGACAATTAGCTTGGTTTTGGAAATATTGACATTATTGTTTCATTTAGGCATTTAATTGTTTAATCATTTTTTACAATGTAGCCATAAAATTACTTGTAATTCATGACATTTCATTACCTAATAGTTGTGTTAGAAATGTATACTCTAGGTAACATGGACACAAAAATTTGCTTTCAATATATGAAAGAAACTCACCTACACTCAGACAGACACACATGTAAAACACATATATACCTAAAAGATAGTTAATGTTTACCATCTGATGTACCAAATACAATATTTCTTTCTAATTGTTTGAAAAATAGAATGCTATTTCCTTTTCAAAGCAAAATTTCTAATTTGATATTACATATAACTCAGCTGAAGGAACTTCATATGACTATAAAATTTGCTATTAGCCTTATATAATTAGCTTTCTTAATGAACAGTCGAAGCCTAATAAAACATTCATCTGTATTTTTAAAGTGTACGTGTGCAACCACTGGTTTCAAAATGACAATTTCTTAATAGAACAAGGATTTAATTTCTTCAAAACATTAACGCTGGCCTCACTGAATGTTTGAGTTGAGAGTAACTGGATTGGAAAATTGGAGTAAGTTTGTTTATGGGACTGTTCACTTTCTCTGGCTTCCTGGAAAGAGTTTATATTAACTTGCAAATTATTTCTTGCTGCCTCATTTTCTTCTTATTTCTTCTTATTCCTTAATTTTTATCCCTAATGGGCTACATCTCCAAAGCTCTCCAAAGCTTATACCCTCCCATTTGCACTTATTATCTCTCACGTGAGCTCAAGGCACCCGCTTCTGGGTAGTTCTCTAAATGTGCCAAGAACATTGCTGTCTCAAACCTTTTGAGTCTGCTATCTCTCTGTCTCCTGAGATCCATATGACCCCAATTCCTTCCATTCATGTGCCTGTCCAACAGCCCCTGTTTTAGAAAGGGCTTCTTGATCCTCTATCTATGATAGCAACCCCCTCCATTATTTTCCTCCTTTTATTTTTCTTGAGACAGGGTCTCATTCTGATACCCAGGCTGGCATGTGGTCACACGATGACAGCTCCAGCCTTGAACTACAGGGCTCCAGCTATCCTCCCATCTCAGCCTCTTAGTTAGCTAGAAATATAGGTGCATACCACCATGGTGGGTTACTTTGAAAATTTTTTGTAGAGACAGGATCTTACTACGTTGCCCAGGCTTATCTCCAACATTTGGCCTCAAGCAATCCTGCCACCATGGCCTCCCAAAGTGCCGGGATTACAGGTATGGTCCACTGCACCCGGCCTCCTCATTCTCTTTTATCAGTTGTCCTAGCACTGAACTTATATTTTATGGTCAAATTATTTACTTTTCTCTTTCTTGCTAGAATATATGGTCTATAAAGTCAGTGTTTTTTTGTGTTTAGTACATTGCTATATTCCTAGCAATTAGACCAATACTTAACTACAGAACATATTGGGAAACACAAATATTTCCTCATTTAATGATGGTCCAACTCACAATTTTTCAATTTATGATGTTGCAATAGCAATGTGCATTCAGTATGCTCCTCAACTTAATATGGGGTTATATCCAGATAAGCCCATCATAAATCGGAAATATCGTAAGTCAATAATGAGCTTTCGATTCACCATATTTTCAATTTACCATTGGATTATCACGTCATCACACGCCATACATCGAGGAGCATCTATAAATAACGAAGTAAAAGGGGCAAAATGTTCTGTTCTGAATGTTAAAAATGGTTAATGGAGTAAATTAGTAGCAAAAGATATTAGAAAGGTAAAGAAAAGACAAATACAGAAAGACTTTTATTTAACAATAGGAAGTTTGAATTTTACCTTAGGTATTCCTCTGTTATTTAGCATTACTTTCTCCACAAGATCAATTACTAATATAATTGATTCCCTCTATACCAAATCCTTTTCCCATCATTTTCCATTTTCCTTTGGTATTATCTTCTTTCTTTTATTACGTGGCTCAAATGACGTTTTCTAATGCTGGCTTTAAGACTTTAAATATTCTGATATATTTAAGGTCATGTGAATTGTAAATCATAATTATTTGCAACTTGTGGTTTAATTCCTTCGGAAAGGTTGTGCTATTCCTTCCTTTACCATTTTCATATAGTTAAATATGACAAATACAATGTTTGATCTGGATCGAGACTATTTCAAATTAAAAACTAAAATAGGAAAACAAAACGTAGGATGATTGGGCTTGTGCCATACATAGTCACTGCAGAGAAATATTAAGGAACTTAGTGATCACATATAAGTTGTTCTCAGCATTATCAGATGTAATGCCTTCTTAGGCCAATATGAAATGTATGCAAAATATACATATACCTATCTAAGTATGTAATTTTAGGAAAATCAACGTAATATATAAACTGTAGTATAAAGGATAAAAGGAAAAAAACAATTTATAAAATAGACTTTGTTTTCCATATGTAAATGCTGGATAAGACCATTTCAAAAAAATTCTAATGAAAATCACATACTTGCACTTATGTGTCACTGTAAATGCTGTAACTACAAATGCATTCTTATGTAGTTACAGTTTGTCGGTGACTCAAATAATATGCATGGCATTGACAACTGTTAAAAGATGTTTCTCAATAGTGAATACTCCTCAATAAAATTATGAATAAAAACAATGAACTTTTGTCTCAATTTGCATGATGTTTGCATTCATGGAAAGTTCAGAGTGCATTAGATTGTGCACAAAGGTTCTTTGCATATCTAAAATGAAGTATTTCTAAATTCACATAATTATAAAGAGGCGTTTCATCTGCATGACATTCGAAAATCAAGTAAGACACGCTATGATATTGAATTGTTCAGAATTATCACAGGCACTGCGGGAAAACATCATCCCTGGCCCACATCCACCGAATGTCAATAGCACTCCTTAATTGTTGTTTCAACCCAAAATACCTTCAGATGTTGGAAAAATCCCTTCTGTGGAGTATGCAACTGCTGCCATCCTTTATTCCAGCAACTGAAAACGACAATACTGAAATACAGTCACTAAAGTACCCTAATGAACTTTTTCTTGTAGGCCATATCAGCCTCTTGAAATATTCATTTCTAGCAATCTTGATTAATTTCACAATTATAACTCTTAAATGCATTCATTTGCATTTTCCGTTCATTGAATAAACATTTATTAAGCACCTGCTGCTCTACTTGTCTATAGCAATACAAAAAAGGACCTCCCCAGCAAAAAATCCAAAGAGAGTAACAAAAAAAGACAGTTCTTTTCTTAACGAGCGTTACAACCTAGTGAAATACAGAGGTTTTTGGCCTGTAACTTTAATTAAAAGTCTCCAAAGCTTCTGCTTATTGGGGTTAATAAGCAATAATTAATCAACACATTTCACAGCTTTTATTCATTCTAGTGATCCCTTACACCCACCCTTAAACCTCCAAAATTATCACCAAATATGCTCAAGAAAGCAGTAACTACAATAACTTCTAGCTTTGGTGGCTGCTTTTGTAAAGTAGACCCGTGGAGTTAAATTTTTAAGAGAGGTATAGTGAGGTATACAGTTCATGAATTTGAATAAACACATACAGTCATGTAACTGCCAAAATAATCAAGATATAGAATATTTCCGTAAGCCCCTGAAATTTTTTCATGACGCTCGGGAATCAATCTCCTTTTCCAAACCCAGCTTCTGGCAACCACTAATCTCTTTTCCATTGTAAAAATGCT
This sequence comes from Homo sapiens, assembly GCF_000001405.40. NCBI lineage: Eukaryota > Metazoa > Chordata > Mammalia > Primates > Hominidae > Homo > Homo sapiens. The sequence continues at coordinate 238,773,678 of NC_000001.11, forward strand.
CCTATTCCAGAACGCTATATAAATGGAATTCATACCTAATGTAGCATTTTGCTTCTGGGTTTTCATTTAGAATTAGGTATTTGAGGTTCATTCATATCGATGTATTTATCAGTAGTTCTAGTCACTTTTCATTTTAAGTGTTTTTCCATTATTTACCTAGAAACAGGTTTGTTAGATGAGATAGTAAGTTCATGTCTACCTGACATGCTAAAGAATTTTCCAAAGTGGCTATTAAATGTTGCATTCCCACTAGCAATATATGAAATACCTTGTAGTTCCACATTATTGCCAGGACTTGGTGTTGTAGATTTTTACCATTTTATTGAGTGTAAATTGGCATAATTCTGTGTTTTAATGTGCATTTCTCTGATGGCTAATAAGGTTAAGAATATTTTCCTATGCTTATTGCCAATTTGCATTTCTGATTTGATAAACTATCTGGCCAAATATCTCATAAAAATTGGCTTGTCTTTTATTATTGAGTAGTAAGGGTTCTTTACATATTTCAGATACAAATATGTTATAAAATATATATTTCACAAATATTGACTTCAAATATGGGGCTTAGCTGTTCATTTTCTTAACAACATTTTGTAAGAACAGAAGATTTTGATTTTGATAAAGTCAAATTTATCATTTTTTCTTTTATTATTTGGAATTTTTATATATTAAGAGGATCTATTTGCTAATGCCAAGATCACACAGATACTCTTCTACATTTCCTTCTGTAAGAATTACAGTTTTAGCTCTTGCATTTAGGTTTTAATTCATTTCAAATTATTTTTATATGATATGTGTAGTAATAGTCAAAATTATTATCATTATTATTTATTTTGCATTTGAACTTCCAAATAGTCTGGCACCAATGGTTAAAAAGACTCTCTTTACCCAATTTATTCACTTTGTCACTTTGTAACAATGAATGGACCAAACCATATATATGTGAGGTTTACATCTGGACTCTATTCCTTTCCATTGATCTATATATTAATATCTACCCTTTCCTGAAAATACATTATTTTGATTATTGTACCTTTGTAGTAAGTATATAATTAAGTATATTATCTATTAATTGTATATTTAGTTTTATTTCAAAATTATTTTTGCTATTCTAGGTCCATTGCGTTTGCATATAAATTTTGGAATCACCTTGTGTGTAGATATAGTGAATTGTATTGATTGATTTTCAAATATTAAAACATTTATTTCTAGGAAAAATTTTACCTGGTGACAATTTAGCATCCTTTGAGAATACTGCTAGATTTGATTTGCTAATAATTTCTAAAAAATATTTGTGTCTATTCACGGGGTATATTGAAGTTTTCTCAAATTTTTGTCTGGATTGGGTAACAGAGTAATGCTGGCCTCATAAAATGAAATGAGAAGCCATCTCTCTTCCTCAAGTTTCTGTTTAAATTGTGCCGAACTGGTATTATTTCTTCCTTAACTATTGGTCATAACTTTGCCAGTGAAGCTGTCTGACTTGAATTTTCATTGAGGAGATTATATATACATAATATATATAATTAATATTTAAGCATTAATCTGTATAAATAGATGTAGTCATTGCTTCAGGTAATTTATTTCTTCAAGACTGAAATTTATGACCATTGTTAGTTTTGGAAAAAAAATTGACCATTTTATTCATGTTGTCTAATTTATTGACAATGTTTTGCATAAACTTGTTTTATTGTATTTGTAGTATGTATAATATGTGTAGTGATATTTCCCACTCCCTTCTTTATTCTTGATGTTGCAATTTTTGTCTTTATTATCTTTTTTTTTATTGTTCTGGCTAAAGCTTTATCTATTCCACTGATATTTTTAAAGAACCAGTATTTGGATTCATTGATTTAGCTGTTCTTGATTTCTTTGTTTTTTGTTTTTTTTTTTTTACAATTCAACATGTTATTCATTATCTTCGAGTTCTTTTTTTAGATTAGCTTTAGTGTTTATATACTCACAAGCACTTTAAGGTGGATGTTTGGAAGCTGGGAATAAAACATAACCTCAGGGGAGAATTTTTCCCAGAGGAACTGCTTCTGTTCTTATGGGTTTATTCACATCATAAAGAAAAACATTCATAATAAAACAATTCACTATTATGATTTATCTAGGTGTTATCAAGAATAGTGGCAGTGAACTCCCTGCATTCTTAGCAGTTCCTTAGAAATTTCCTTCACTTTGACTCTTGGTCAAAATGACTTATTCTTTAAGCTGTTTTTTTTTTTTTTCTTTTTTTAAAAAGTACAAAACTGAAATGTTTCTGGAACCTTGGTGTATCTGAGAATGTCATTTTGCATCTCAGGTTTTTACCGCAAATTTTTGCTCATTATCCTTTGGCTTTTAATGGGGATGTACAACTGCATTCTGCAATCACCTTCAGTTTTGTTTCCTTAGATGTTAACCTGTTATTTCTGTCTGAATGTTATTAGCATTGATTTTTCCATATTCTGAAAAATCTCATCAATAGTTATTCAAAAAAAATGTGAGTCCTATAGTCAAATATTTGTGGTAAATATTGGATTACATACATGTGATATTGTGAAATATCTATTTGGTCTGAATCCCTATTTCCTGGCATACGGCTCCTAAAATTATCGAAATTGCCATAGTGATGAGTGTCCTTTGTGCGCTAATGAGATGACTGGGGTTGTGGTCCCCTATATAGCTCAGAATGGGGGCTGGTCACCAGAAATGCCAAGGCATGACTAAAGGGTTGGGACTTTAAGCCACAACCAGTAAGCTCCAGGAAGAAGAGGATGAAGGTTAAGTAGATTGCCAATGGCCAATGATTTAATCAATAATGCCTGCATAATACAGCCTCCATAAAAACCCAAAAAGACTGAGTTAGGTGATCTTCTAGACAGTGAACAAGTGGAATTACCTGTAGGGGCATGGAAGCTCCATGTCCTTTTCACTTATCTTACCCTAAGCATCTCTTTCATATGGCTGTTCATCTGTTAATATCTTTTATCGTAAACTGGTAAATGTAAATAAGCATTTCCCTGAGTTCTGTGAGCTGTCCTAGAAAATTAATCAAATGCAAGAAGGGGGTCACGTGAACCCTGATTTATGGTCAGACGTGTAGGTAACAACCCATATTTACATTTGGCATCTGAAGTATGGGGGGAGTCTTTTGGAACTGAGCCCTCTAACTTGTGGTATCTGACACCATCTCCAGGTAGATAGGATCAGAGTTGAGTTAAATTATAGGACATCCAGTTGGTTTCCACTGGAGAATTGCCTGGTATGGAAGGAAACAACCCTTATAACATCGGGTGTCAGAAGTGAGCTAAGTGGTATGTGACAGTAGGTAAAGCATTTTGGGGTTTCCTATATTTATAATAATCTAAAATGCTAAATAAACGTTGTGATTGTAGGACTTCTGATGTGAACAGTGAACCTTCAAAGCTTACATAGAATTTCCCAAACATACTTAACAACAGAACACTTTTGAGCTCATGGAACCATGAGTATGGGCTCTTGGCCACTATCAGGTGCCAGCATCTCCCTGCAATAGCACTCACTGTAGCCTTGTTAAAAGAAGTCCTACAGAAAACATACCTTCCAAACCATAGAAGGTGCTGCCCTGGACAACAGGTAAGAGTAATATTTGCCTAGAAAGTGGTCAAATCTCACCTGCCAGGCAGTAATTAGAATACATCGTGGGCCATAAAATTTCCCCTGCATTTTCTTGAGAATGTCTGTGGTTAACTTCCTCAGGGAATGCTTTCCCAGGGCAGATTTGATCCAGAGTCACCTAAAAGACCTGAACTTGCACAGCAGTTGCAGCACAAACATTTTTATATTCACAAAGTCAAAACACCCATTGACAGTAGATGCCCAGTTTGATAATGGCTAGCAAATTTGTTAACCACTCCATAATCATTTGCAAAATACTCCATTAGAAGAGAAGGAATGTCAGCATAAGCAGTGGGCCACACTGTCCCAGTGATGTGTTGGTAATGACTACATCCCTGCATAGACTATATGGCATAGCCCATTTCACAAGAGAGATTTTCTACCATTTCAGGAGTTAATAAAGTTGGTGAATTTCTTAGAAGAATGGAGATGACTAAGCATGAAAAGTATGCCTGGGAGTTGATAGTCTCCATTTTCCTTTAATGTGCCTCCAGGAATTGTAAAATGGTAATCTTGATGTAGTCTGTCATTTTGCTGAAAAGAAGTCACAGATGTATCCCAACAATCCTTGGGATTCACCAACACAGCCAGTTTTCAAACATTTTCACACCACACATCTCCCTTTTTCAGACCACTGTTCAGACAACAAAATCTCTCACAGTTTATTAAACAAACCATTCAGACCTTCCACTCGTGTTCCATGGGAGAAAAACGTGCAAGATAAACTGGGCACAATGTCATACTGCCCCTCGGCATAAATCACACCATCGTAGCAGGAAGATCCCAAGGCATTAATTCAGAATTTTGAAGATTTAGATACATTTTTATCCCTCGTATCATCTCAAATATTTTTTAGTCCTTTCAGAAAGTTTGTCAGATAGTTTCTTAAGGGCATGAATGACAGTCTGGGTTTTTGGCTATGATTCTTTAGAAAGCCCTGTGGGAAAATGTAAAATATCCTGACTCACTACCAGAAGATCTCTATTGCTGAGCAGTTCTTCAATTGACCAGAATTGGGATAAAGAAAAATTGTGTAAGAAGCTTCTGAAACCAAGTCATCTAGTGCTCCCTCATGTAGACTATCAACTGTTACATGATATCCACTGTACTGGGAAGACATGACTATCAATCTTGGGAATACTGGTTCCCTTAAGAAATGTACTATTCAAATCTAAGACTTGAACATCAAGGTCGACTGATCTTTTAGGCTTTTCCTTGTCTAGATGGAGTTCACTGATTTCACAATCAAGCAAACATTTCAGCCACTTGGCCGGTTTCTGAATTAAGGAAATCTACAAGTTTTTTTTATCATCTAGTAATTTTTTCAAACTGAATATAATTTCACATTTGTGTTCAACTTTTCTATAATGTTGCAATACTTCTATAAGCTTCTTCTGCCACCTATTTTATTTTATTTTATTTTTTCGAGATGGAGTCTTGCTCTGTCACCCAGGCTGGAGTGCAATGGCACCATCTCAGCTCACTGCAACCTCCGCCTCCCAGGTTCAAGCAATTATCCTGCCTCAGCCTCCTGAGTAGCTGGGATTACAGGCACCCACCACCACACCCGGCTAATTTTTGTATTTTTAGTAGAGATGAGGTTTCACCATGTTGGCCAGGCTGGTCTCGAGCTCCTGACCTCGTGATCCCCCGCCTTGGCCTCCCAAAGTGCTGGGATTACAGGCGTGAGCCACCATGCCTGGCCTATATACTCGTTGATGCTGCCACAAGGTGAGCAAGTTTCAAAAAATCTGTCAAGTCCACCGGTCTGTCTGTACAAGGAAACAGAGAACTCATCAAAAAAGAGCATAACATGGAGCCCAGGTGGTAAAAAGCACGATGTTCCACAGGCAATGCCGTCTTCCTTGAGGCTTGACATAGAACTGATAAAGAAATTCAGTAAATTTGTAGGATACAAAATAAACACACAAACATCAGTAGCATTTATATATGTCAACAGTGAAAAGTCTGGAAAAGAAATAAAAAAGCAATCTCCTTTACAATAGCTGCAGAGATTATAAAATACCTAGGAATCAATGTAATCAAAAATGTGAAAGATCTATACAAAGAAATCTATAAAACTCTAATGAAAGAAATTAAAGAGGACATAAAAAATGAAAAGAGAGTCCATGCTCATGGATTGGAATAATTAATACAGTTAAAATGACAGTACTACCACAATAATTTACATATTCAATGTAATCTCTATCAAAATATTAATCACATTTGTTTTGCAGTAGGCAAGTCTATGAAAGCCTACCCCATACTCTGAGGAAGCCGAAAGTCTGAAGAAAATTGAGCATATATAGCAAGACAAGGTGGTGGTTCACAGCATTATTACCTCTCGGATCCAGGGATTATATACAGTAGGGGAGGGGCACATGTGCTCCAGAGGGAATGGGAAGGAATTTGCTCTAAAGGCCAGATTTATGGTAAGTATGAGTTTATCAAGGTTGACTTGCTCTCTGGGCAGAATTTACAGTATGTGCTCTTACACAAGGAGCAATAGATAAACTGGAAATGTCAGAGGGCTTCCCAGACCTGGGGTTAATCAGAAACTAACATGGCAGTTTAGTATCCAAGATGGATTTGCTTCAGTCTCCACAACATTCTTCAAGCAATAGAAAAAACATTCCTAAAATTTATACGGAACCACAAGGGACCTCAAATAACCAAACCCATCCTGAACAAATTTGGAGGCATCACGTTACCTGACTGCAAAATATGCTACAAAGCTATAGTAAACAAATCGACATGCTACTGGCCTGAAAACTGACACATAGACCCATGGAACAGAATAGAGACCCTTGATACATAATAAATCTAGGCATTTATAACCAGCTCATTTTTAACAAAGGTGCTGTGAACACACAGTAGAGAAAAGGCAGTATCTTCGATAAATAGTACTAGGAAAACAGGATAATTGTATGCAAAAGGATGAAAATAGACCCCTATCTCTCACCATATACAAAAATCAAATCAAAATGTATTAAATACTTAAACCTAAGTCCTTGAAACCATAAAACTACCAGAAGAAAACATCTGGGAAACACTTCAGAACATTAGTCTGGGCAAAAATTTTTTTGGTAAGACCACAAGAGCACAGATGACAAAAGAAAAAATAGACTAATGAGATTACATCAAGCTAAAAAGCTTCTGCACAGCAAAGAAATCAACGAAGCGAAGAGACAACCTACCGAGTGGGAGAAAATACTTGCAAACAATCCATCTGATGAGAGATTAACTCAAACAATTCAATAGAAAAAACCAAATGATACAATTTTTAAAATGGGCAAAAATGTGGAGAAAAGTGAACCCTCATAACCTGTTGGTGGGAATGTAAGTCAGTACAGCCACGATGGAGAACAGTATGGAGATTTCTCAAAAAACTAAAAATAAAACTACAAAACTACTGTATGGATACAGCAATTCTACTACTGGGTATGTATCAAAACAAACAAAAATAAGAAAATCAATATATTGAAGAGATGTCTGCACTCCTATATTTACTGCAACACTATTCACAATAGCCGAGAGGGGAATCAACCTAAGCAGCCATCAGTGGATAAATGGATAAAGAATATGTGGTATAAAGACAAACAGAATATTATTCATCAAAAAATTTAACGAAATTTTGTCACTTGCAGCAACATGGATGGAACTGGAGGTCATTATGTTATGTGAAATAAGCCAAGTACAGAAAGACAAATATCGCATGTTCTCATTCATATATGGTAGCAAGAGAAGTGGATCTTATGAAGATAGAAAGTAGATTGGTGGTTATCAGAGGCTAAGAAGAGTAGCAGGGAAGGATGAAGAGAGGTTGATTTAATGGATAAAAATATAGAGTTAGGTAGAATAAACAAGACCTGGTGGTATTTGATAGATGAGCATGGTGTCTATAATTAACAATAATCTATTGTATATTTCAAAATAGCTCCAAGAGAATAATATCAGAGTGCTGCCCATCCCAAATGTGGGAGGTACCAAAGGGGATGTCCTGGCCGTGTGGGAAGGCTGGCTAGGGGTTTGTTCCAGGAGCCCTGTGGAATGTGCCTCCTACAGCATGATGGTGCTGAACAGACATTCTGATTTGGCATCTCCTTTGGCTGAGGTACAGAGCAAAGTTTCCAGGGCTGAGAATGGTAGTTCCACCTCCTTGCTTTGTCTCTGGCTGTCCTTAGGGAGATTTCTCCCTTTGGGCAGTCACAATGCTTCCTGTGGGTTAAGGCAGGCACAGGTCTTCCTCCAGGGAACACAAGATGGTGGGGAAACTGTCCACCCTGATCTCACTTTTTCTAGTGTAAAAACTGTGAGATGAGTACGAGAACATTGTCCACATGCATGGTGTCTGGAAGATGGGAGGAAAGGCGTCTCACGTATGGAAGTCTCATTCTCTTACCATGTGCTCACAGTTTCTTCACTTCTCTGTGGCCCCAAGAGTTGTCTTATCCTTATATTCGAGTACTGGGATATTGCTGGTGCTAACCTTGGCGCTGTATATGTTGTTTGGGTCTTCTATGGAGGGCAGTGAAGTTAGCTTGCTCCCACACCACCATTTTGGAACCAGAAACTCCTGGTTATTTTTATGAGATGAATTAGTGGATTTTTAATTATTTTCTTTATATGTTTTTCTATTTTTTAAACATGAACATAGACTGATTTTGTAATCAGAAAAAAAATCTCTAAATTAAAATAAAGAATACTCTAAAACAAAAGGTTCTGCCTTATTCTACAAATTATCCCATATTTAAAGAAGGTTAAACTGACAGTATTGCACAGAACTTCTATGGAGAACAGTATGGAAGTTTCTATTATAATTTTTCCTCTGAAATGTGGGTTCTAATTTTTTCTCTACTTCTACCAATCACTAACAGAGGAGTGTTAAAGTCTCTAACTACAGTTTTGGATTTAAAAAAAATCTCATTTTAAGTTCAATCACAGCTGGATCAAGAATCTTAAAGTTCTTTTGATAGGTGCATACACGTTAAGCATTACCATGCCTTCCTGCTACCTTGACTCTTAGTTCAAACGTCTCCTTTATCTAAAATTAATATTGCCACTCCATCTTTCTTTTGTGCCGTATCTCTCTCTATCCCCTTACCTTTAACTTCTTTGTGTGTCTACATTTAATGAGTTTCTTATAGACAGTATGTAATTTGTTCTCACTTTTAATTCAATCTAACAATTTCGCCTTTTGAGTTGGCATGTTTAGACAACTAGAGTTAGTGCAGTTTTTCATTTCTCCCCTCTACTTTTTGTTTGATTTTTCCTCTTTATCCTTTGGATCATTTTGAACATTAATTGTACTCCATTTTCATCCACTACTTGCTTATCAGTTAAACCACTTAACTTTATTTTTGCATATTGTTAGTCTTTTCCTCTAAATCCTTTGAGATACTACTCACAGTTATTCTGTAGTCCTTTGAGGATAGTTCCACTGTATCTGGGTCATACATATCTGGGCTAGCTTCAGATGACTATTCCTTCTCTTATCAGTCTGTTTTTACTGTTTTGTGTGTGTGTGTGTGTGTGTAAATTTTGAAGGATTGCTGAACATGCTGTGTAGGACACTAGAGACAGAGAAATCATTTTCCATGCCTCCTCTTCTCCCAACACAATAGTATTGTGAATTTAATCAGTCTAATCAGGAGTTGAACTGGGATTAGTTTTAGTCATGGTGGTAGTCACCTTCCTTGACTTCAAATTTCACCAAGAAGTTATTGCTGCAACCTTTTAAGCATTTGATGACTCCCAACCACATAGTGTAAAACTAAAAAACCTGCCATAGCCTGTAGGTCTCAGATCTCTGTCTTCTACCTTTCTCAACTTTTTAACGTCCCCACTTGCCATTTTGTAATCAGAATAAGCGCTCTCATGTTTTGACCTATTATCTGCTTATCTTTTCTAGCACTGTTCACAACTGGCAATTATGTATTCAATTCTTGCTTACCTTAATAATTTTACTCCCTTACTGAATTATAATTTACATTAGTTCTTAGTATAGTCTGACAGACTGTGGCTTCCTGGTAATTTTTTAAAAAATAACATAAGAACTATAACAAGAAGAAAACATACCAATAAAATTAAGACTAGATGTTAATCAGGATAATGGAATTACCTCCAACATGTGTGCCGTACTGAATAATTTCAGACTTATAAAAGTTATTTTACATAGTAATTCTTTATTTGAAAATATGATTATATTTGATGCAGTGACTTTCCTTAAAATATGCTAAAACCATTAGAATTAAATAGATTTTTGCCATAAAGTGGCCTGTTCCATTTTGCAAAGTACAAGTGCTTTAAAATAGTGGCTGATGGGTCTCTGGGTCTGGGTACAAATTCAATATTTAATCTCAATATATAAATACAAGCATTCCATTAATTTATTCAAATGGGATTTATGTGAGTCATTTTTTTTTTTGTCCCACATATCTAATCAGTTTTTTGACTTTCTGGTCCTATGGTTGTGAAAGCAAAACTAAAAGAAAGAAAATGGAAGGGCTAAGAGTTTCAACCACTATGATATTTTTTAAACTCTTTTTGTCTTTTCTGTCATCCCCCAACATTTAGCTTGATACCACAAGCCTTTTCACCTTAGAGACAAAATAAGATTAAAATCTAAATGTATGGTCCTCAAAAATGTCATTATCACATTGGTGCAACATATAATACTGAAAGGGTGATTTTAAAATTCTTTTCTAAAACCACCAGTTACCAACATATTTACTAAATAGGCGTGGGCTTATCAGGAATTTACAATATGTTACAAAATGTATAGTTAAGTTCTAGATTCATATAATTTGTGCATGTATACAATTGATTTGAATATATGCATAACTAAGCTTGAGTATTCTAAATTTTATTTTTAAAACATTGACTTTAAAAAACTTGAAAATAATATAATAATTTGGCTTAATACAGCATAACTTTGCAAAATACACACAGATTAACAGAAACCATAAGGTCTTCAAGAACATTGCTAGCTATTTTGAGTATTTGCTTACAGTGGTAATTTGTGAGCCAGAGGGAAACAGAAGTTGGAAGGTCTTCATGTGTTTGGTACCAACAAAAAGTTTTTCTAATTTTATTTTTGACACTGAGTCTTGCTCTGTTGCCCAGGCTGGAGTGCAGTGGTGCAATCTCAGTTCACTGCAACTTCCACCTCTCGGGTTCAAGTGATTCTCCTGCCTCAGCCTCCCAAGTAGCTGGGATTACAGGTACAAGCCACCACGCTCGGCTAATATTTTGTATTTTTAGTAGAGACAGGGTTTCACCATGTTGGCCAGGCTGGTCAGGAACTCCTGGCCTCAAGTGATCTGCCAGCCTCAGCCTCCCAAAGTGCTGGGATTACAGGTGTGAACCACTGCGCCCAGTCAAATTTTATAGTTTTGACAGAGATCCACTGCAATAGGGAAAAGGGAAGCTAGAATGTAAGAAATATTTTTCTATGTTGTAGCTGTATGCTTTCTTAAATAAAAATACAGTGTATCTATGACGTCTTATATCAGTGAATTTCACAGAAACAATTGTAAATTATGACAAAGAACATCCTAGTAATGTGTTAATGATGTTACATAGGAGGGTATTGACATGGCTGTTTCAGTCAAATGGAGAGCAAAGCTATCTTACGGCCTAACATACGCCTTCATCCCTGTAAACGGGTAGAAAAGTAGCAGAGCTGGCCAACATCACACTGACCATGCCCAGAGCATTATACCATCATTGTCATCGATCGTCATCACATCATTATTTGATAACACAGTATTATTATGTATCATTGTGTAATGTATTACATACCATAAGATTGCATGAGTATTATATATCATTACTATTATGTATTTATATCATCTGCCAATTATTATATATTTTATAGTTATATACCTTTCTAATCATTATCATAGTTATATCATAATCACTCCCGATATTCATCACTCCTCATGTGCACCCTCATTATATTCCCTTACCAAAATTATAACCCAGATTAAATATGAATTTCCACCTGTCTCATGCATGTATGATGAAGATAAACATGGCTATAGATAAATACATAAATACGCTGACTGAGACCACTTGACAACTGATTGGGTACTGAATCTGGCTTCACTAGTCAATTTCAGTCTTGAAAACCTCAAATGTCTATTCCACATTTTTTTCCCATCTTCCTATTTCCAGCACCTCCTCCCCATCTTCAATCTTGAGGACAATGCTTTCTTTTTAACTGAGAAAATTAAAATAATAATATGAAGACTCCCTGAATCACATCTGTGTACATGCGGCTCTGGTGTTCCCATACCATATTCAGACTCTCTTCCTCTTATGATAGTTGAACTAAGAATGCATGCTATGATCCCATGTAATCTTAACCTGGGATCATGGCGTCTGGATAGAAATCACACAGTCGATAAACTTGGATAGGAGGGAGGAAAAACTAAGCCTATTTTTATCTTTGTTACTAATCACTGACAAAAATGAGCATTTCCTTCAATTGTGTAATAAATGTAGGTAACAAACTATGGTTGTATTAGCAGACAGTGTGGCTTTATCACCAATATTTTTATATCATATTACAGATGGTACAGGTATCTTGAAATGTCTTCAACTCTTTTCACTGTCATGCAAAGTCATTATAGCTAACATTTAAGCTAAGCAAAAGTAACCTTCAAATTTACATTCCCTAAAATAATAAAGTTAAATTTAATTTGTTGACATTATGTTGTTTTCCTTATTTAAATAATTAAAAATGAGCATATATTAACATATTATAAATTGTTTAAAATATTTTGATGACTGTATTTGAATTTAATTTTTTATAATCTTATGTAATTCATTTTATGCATTTAGAATTATTAATTATAAGGAGCCCATAGGTATCTACAGAGCTTCAATGGGTCCATGGAGTGTAAACACACACCCACACATCCATGAGCACACACACACTCATGATCATACACATACAAACACAGATTGAGAGCCCTTGATCTAAAACCATATACCGTCACTCAACAAGTGGATAAATAAATTGTGATATATATAGTACTCAGCCATAAAAAGGAACAAAATAAGGGCATTCAAAGTGACGTGGATGGAATTGGAGGCCATTATTCTAAGTGAAGTAACTCTGGAATGGAAAACCAAACATCGTTATGTTCTCTCATAAGTGGGAGTTAAGCTATGAAGATGCAAAGACATAAGAATGATACAATGGACTTTAGAGCTTTAGGGACTCCAGGAAAAGGATGAGAGAGGAGTGAGGGATAAAAGACTACAAACTGGGGCCAGGCGCAGTGGCTCATGCCTGTAATCCCAGCACATTGGAAGGTGAAGTGGACAGATCACAAGGTCAAGAGATGGAGACCATCCTGGCCAACATGGTGAAACCCTGTCTGTACTAAAAATACAAAAATTAGCTGGGTGTGGTGGCATGCGCCTGTAGTCCCAGCTACTGGGGAGGTTGAGGCAGGAGAATCGCTTGAACCCAGGAGGTGGAGGTTGCAGTGAGCCAAGACTGTGCCACTGCACTCCAGCCTGGGTGACAGAGTGAGACTCCATCTCAAAAAAAAAAAAATAAATAAAAAATAAAGACAAAAAAAAGACTACAAATTGGGTACAGTGTATATTGCTCCGGTGATGGGTGCACCAAGATCTCAGAAATCACCACTGAAGAACTTATTCATGTAACCAAACATCACCTGTTCTCCAAAAACCCATGGAAATAAAAAATAAAAATTAAAAAATTAAAAAAAAAGAAGGTTGTACCACACTCAGTAACTACTGAAAGTTTCTAGGATGATTCCTTGCCATGTGAAAACCAGATGTTCTGTCTCTCTGTGCATCACAGACATATGCAGGCAACACCTCACAATCACCCAGGGTTTTGATAGATGTACTCTATTTGATAATTACTGGTCAGAGTTATGCAATCCATTTGATAATTTATATACTGCTATTCACAAAATGTAAAATTAAAATTTCTGTAATATGTTATTTGTTGTGAAGTAAACCTATAAAAACAAACAAATCACATTGTGATTTTTTGCAGCAGGACTAGTAAATTGGTGCAACTATTTTGGCTCTCACTAAAATTCAAGCACGCATTAATTTGTATGTGCGCCTATCAAATCAATATAATCTTAAAATTGTTCTGTGGTCAAAATATGTTTCAAAAAATTCTGCTTAATAAAACTTATTCTGCCTTGCATTATAAAAAAAATGGTGAGTAAGGCAGAATCTATGCATATAAAAAAATAAAAGTAAAACCATACGCCACTCTTTCCAATTGAGCACTTTATTCCATTCGCTCTCACCTACTCAAGGACAGCCTTTAACAAACACATCCGTCTCTGTTTATATTAACATTTATTATCTTACAACTAGATCATTCCCATTAGCTTACCATTATTTCTATTTTCTTTAAACACACACACGCAGAGAGAAAGAAACAAACAGAAAAGGGTTTGTTTAACTTCACTTTTCTAAAAGCTACCGTCTTATCTCTTTGTTCCACTTGGCATCAAAACCAGAAGAACTTTCTATATTCACTGGGGCTGCTTTTCCTCTTCCCAATTTCCTTTAAACCTATTTTAATCAAGCTTTCTCTTCATCACTCTTCCAAACAGTACCAGCTATGATCACTAATTATATCCATGTTTCAAATTGCAATGATCTATACGTGATCTTCCTGTTATGATCTATCAACACATTTTCATGTACTTTCTTGATTTAGTTCTTGTTTCTTTTTTCCTGTTTCATTGGTTCCTTCTGAGCTATCTCCTTTTTTCCCAAATACTGAATGTAGAAGTGCCACTAGACCCAGTCATTGCTTGTAATTTACTCTTTATCTAACTCACTCTCTTGTACATTTTATTAGACCTCTGGCTTTTAATATCATCAATAGCTAAAGACTGCCAATTTTATTCCTTTAGCTAAAACTCTTTCCAGAATACTAGGCTCACAATCTGTGTAATTGACATCTACCACTGTAGTAGTAGAGTTGAAAAATTTTCTAGACACAAAATCTAACTATGAACAGAGAATAGAAAATATTTGACTATATAGAGAGTTCATGCATATTGTTCAGACACGGTGCTCTATATTGCTCAGATTTTCAAAGAATAATAATTCTACCTTCTGTAAATACTGAAATATAAAAACCAACATCAATAAAATAAAATACTATGGCTTATAATTTTTTAACTTTTATTTAGTAAATCAAGTAGTGTGGTGTTTTTAAAAATTCCATGAGAATTTGTCAAGGGACACAATGCCTGACGCCTAATGTCCAATTACCAAAAATGTATGTGCAGGTAAACAAGTGACCATTACCATAATTTTCCTGATATATTCTTGATGCTTATCTCTTTAAATATCTTTCATTTCTTTTTTATTCACTTGGTTATTTTATTAGTAGAATATCTTCTTAACGAAAAAATAATAGTGTTACTTGTTCACTCTGATACCACAAAAAAAATGAAAGTAAAAAAACCAAAATGGCCTTCTGAGGCTGTGTGTATATGTACGCATATATGTATGTAGGCTTATACATGGTATATATCTATAATTAGTAATATATATTTTGCATAATATGTATGCCAAAATTTGTTTCATGTATATAACAAATACATACATAAAACATTTGTATGCACATCACAAAATGGGATATACTGTAAGTTATTATTAAACAACTAAACTCTAATCGAGGTGATTTCAGTAAAATCTGAGGGCAGTAAGACCGCAATGTAATGACAGTAATATATGTGATCCTGACCAACTATGTCATGCTCTGTCCTTAGGAAAACTGTGCTAGTAGAGTTAGGCTGAGCTTCTTAAAATGTAAAAATGGAAACTCCATGAGAATTTGTTTACTTACCTATCACTTTAAAGGGACACAGTCATGTGACCTTTTTCCATACAGGATTCTACTGTAAGGAAATGGAGCTGATACGTATGTTTGACTACAATTTCACTATGATCATCAATTATAATAGTAACCGATACATAGTAAGACTTCAGCACATATTTGATGCATGAATTATCTAGATGGAATTTTTTGTTAAGGATATTGTATTCTGTATACCTTTACTAAAATTCAATTTTTAACCAAGCATCTAATCACTGTTTAGTTCTAAAACTGGTAAGTGTTCCCTGCACTGTGATTATGAATATTGTGGTCTTATTAAAAGATGGGCTCCTTTGAAAACGATTAAATTGTCTCTCTGGCTTAGGTATTAGTCCCTTGTATTTTTGATTATGACAAACTGTTCATCAAATGCCATGCTCTTAATGCACTAGGATAAAATTGAGTTTCTGTTACTATAAAGTCAAGCGTCAGACTTTAGTCCATGGTGATCTTATTAAGACAGCGTCACCTATGAAGGCCCATTCAGCCAATCAAGAAAAACAACTCTTGTTTTTCAACTCCATTGTATTTTTCTCTAATTTGGTCTTGAGGTCTTGCTCAGGAGTGGGGCTACAAACTTCAGCTCTGTTCTGACAGGGCCCCAGGCCAAGTGGATGTGTAT
This sequence comes from Homo sapiens, assembly GCF_000001405.40. Lineage (NCBI taxonomy): Eukaryota > Metazoa > Chordata > Mammalia > Primates > Hominidae > Homo > Homo sapiens. The sequence goes on from NC_000001.11 coordinate 238,789,847, forward strand.
AGTCTAGCTTTCACAGGATACTTCTTCGTCCTGGTGGATGGCCTAATGACCTGTGACCAGGTGTCCCTCTCACAGGAAACTTATTTATACTGGCAGAAGCCTTTATGGCTCTTGTCCTAGTCATTCTCTAGGAGAGGAGCTCTGACTAGGAGGAGAGTTAAGTTCAGGTGTGTCAGTGAGTTTAGACACAGAGGAGGCAACTCAACAAAACACATGATAAAACAGAAGCAGTATGTTACTTACCGGTCCCGGAAAGCAGAGGGCAGCACACCTTGGATGGACTAATGGGAAAAGGGAGATGGCAGGGACGTGCTTGCTCAACCAGCAAGTAGTGGGGCATGAGAGACAGCAGACAGCAAGGGCTGTGAAGGCTGAAGACTTTACTGACTCCAGGGCATTACCCTATCAGGTTTCCCATGGGGATTTCTAACTGGTGAGTCTAGAGCGAACAGGGATGAGTCCTGTGGAGCCACACCATGACTGAGTGGTGGTCACTGCAGCATATTTGTGCAATCCATGCAGGGTGTGGGGGTCAGTCAAATAGCCTTTGTCTAGCTGTCCGATATGGATGTAGTCAACAGAAGGTGGTTGTATACTGCAGATATCTGGATCAACCACCTTGAGAAACTAGGAGGGGGTGGAGGATCTGAAACTGTGTCAAGGATGACTAAGCCCTTCTTGAATGAAGAAGTCGAACCTATATTCAACAAGGATGCTGATGAAATATGAAATTATAAATATTCACTACAAGCAATCACTAACTGAAACAAAATATGTAAGCCAAGATATACAAAGGCTATCCCATTATAAAACAGTTTTGTTGTTATTTTTATATGATATAGATGTTTCATTACTTCATTGACTCAATAAGCATTAATTGCTTTCTCTAGCCAAGCTCTTCATGAGGCACTGAGGATATTAAAGAGAATAGTGCACATTGCAAACCCTGCAACTTTAAAATAATTTTAAAATAGCATACTTTTCAAAGGAGTAGAGAATACATGATGGGTCTTGATAGGACCCTGAGATCCACATGCAAACATTCTCTCCTCTGAGAGTGCCCCATAGTCTGTGTGGCACACCAGAAATGGCAACAAGCATCAGTCTTCTTGGGATATAGAATTATGGTCCAAATTTAGGACCGCTAGAAGGAAGAAAGGGGATGAACAAAGTAACGAGAAAGAAAGGCTCAATTCAGCATTCAGATAGAGACCGCTTTGGTTTCCGTTTCAACTCTGCATGCATGAGATGAGATGAGAAGAGGCACAGTAGAAAACAGCATATGGAAAGTTGGAACATTTTAGCAAATTCCCAGTACTGGGAAAAAAAAGGTTTAAATTTTTTATCATATCAATTGAGAGGAGATTTTAATAGGGATTTATAATAAGACTCCAGAATGATAATTTTTTAAGCAATTAGGACCAAATTCAAGAGTAAGAATCACGCTGTACAATTAAAGGAAAAACATATTTAAATGTGCTTTAACAAAACCTAAAACAAAGCAGACAGCATCAAGGTGATTGTGCCTGCTAGAAGAAAAGTTAGCATTCTTAAAAGGAAGAAAAAATAATCCAGAGTCTTTACAATTAGCCTATAAAATGACCAGTAGGAAATTTTTTTAAAAAGCATAGGCAGGCAAATAAGCAGAAAGATGTGGGGTATAATCAAGAGGAAAAAAATATCATTAGGAGCAAGCCAGAGATGACATGTATTATAATAATCAGAGAAAGAGTGTAAAATAATGCTAACAAATATTTTAAAGTTATATGGGAAAAGATGGATTTAGTGAGTAAAGAAAATAAAAACTTTAGAAGAGATATGGAAACTTTAAATAAGAATGAGATCAAAATCCCAAAACTGAAAAACATTTGAAATCAAATATTTTATCAGATTATTTCTGCTTCCAGCCATGACTAAGGGAGGGGTTTGTAGCTAACCCATCCTCTGTAAACAAGTGTTAAACTGGAAAAATTATATCGACCCATTAATTCACACACTGGACAGGAAAGATGTGGAGTTTTGAAACTTGAGAGAAGGAAAACACATGCAGCGAGCTTCACATTCATTTAAGCTTTCTGTTCTCAAGTATTTTTCAAATTATGGCATAAGGAAATGGAGTCTAAACAGTAACAATCCCGTTGTGTAGAGGGAAAGAGGATTACCGTTCAGAATTACTGAGGCAGATGCAATATTTAGAGACAAAGAGAGAAGGTAGCTACTCAGAGAAACAGCTCCCCAAATTTGTTTAGAGGACGCCTTGAGTATTTCACTAACTAGTAAACTGGAAATACTCAGGGCAGTACTCTGCACCATTTTGCCAAGGACAGACATAAAGAGGTGGGAGATTAATGATGATTCTGGACACCGCACAATTTTAGGAGGTTGTGGAGGTCCAACCTCCGGAAAAGAAACAGCTTAATGAATCGCTAGGCACTAAGTTGAGACCCTAGAAGGACGTGGTCTAAGGAATAGAGTTCGGTTTGCTTTAAATTGAGAATGACTTCATATCCCAATCAAAATGCCTAACATGAAGCAACTAAGACTCATCAAGTTCAAGCTCATTTGCCAGAAAATTATCTGCCTTCAAGACCAAAATTAAACAGTCTTTAAAGAACATCAACAAAATCCAGAAAATGAATAAGGTGGCATCTACAATATTTACCATAAATCAAAAAATTACTGGATATGCAATAAAGCAGAATATGACATACAACTAGGAGAAAAACCAGTCAATTAAAATATACCCATATATGACAATGTTAGAATTAGAATACAATTACTTTAAAACAGTTATTAAAATATTTTCAAGGACATAAATGAAAATTTATCTGTGAACCGACAGAGAATATTTGCAGAAATTGTTAACTAGTGAAATGTAAATGGGGAAAACTTTTTTACTTGACCAGTGTCTCAAATACAAAGTTTATGAAATAAATGTAGATTACTTTAATGACACTATAATTAATATGCATTCTTTTAAATGAACCACTCCCCAAATAAAACAAAACAAATCTAAATCAAAGAAGAGAGAACTCTGTCAGATGAAGATGTGTGTTCATCTTGGATATTGGTGTAACGTGTAAAGACCAGACTGGATATAGAGAACAGGGAACTCATACGCTATTGGTGGGAATGTAAATTAGTACCACCATTACAGAAAACAGTGTGAAAGTTCCCCAAAAAACTAAAGTAAGACGGGCATGGTGGCTCACGCCTGTAATCCCAGCACTTTGGGAGGCCGAGGCGGGCAGATCACGAGGTCAGGAAATCGAGACCATTCTGGCTAACACAGTGAAACACTGTCTCTACTAAAAATACAAAAAATTAGCCAGGCACGGTGGTGCGCACCTGTAGTCCCAGCTACTTGGGAGGCTGAGGCAGGAGAATCACTTGAATCTGGGAGGTGGAGGTTGCAGTGAGCTGAGATCACGCCATTGCACTGCAGCCTGGGCCACAGACTGAGACTCTGTCTCCAAACAAACAAAAAACTAAAAGTAGTAATCCATACAATCCAGTTGTATCACTACTGAGTTTTGTTTTGTTTTGTTTTTAATTAGAGTCAGAGTCTCCCTACATTGACCAGGCTGGACTCCTACTTCTGACCTCAAGCAATCTTCCCAGCTCAGTCTCCCACATAGCAAGGACTGCAGTTGCATGCCACTGAGCCCAGCTATTAGTGAGTATTCATCCAAAGGAAAGGAAAACAGTCTATCAAAAGAATACCTGCATTCATTCATATGTTTATTGCAGCACTATTCACAATAGTCAAGATATGGAATCAACCTAAGTGCCCGTTAACGGATGAATGGAAAAAGAAAATGTGGTATATACACACAATGGAATACTCTTCAGCTTTAAAAAAGAATAAAATCTTGTCATTTGCAACAATATGGATCAAACTGGAGGTTATTATGTTAAATGAAATATACTGAGCACAGAAAGACAAATATTGCATATTGTCATTCATATGTGGGAGCTAAAAAAAGTTGATCTCATGGAGTCAGTAAGTAGAAGGATAGATACCAGAGTCTAGGAAGGGTGTGTATTGGTGGGAAGGGGATGGAAAGAGGCTGATGAATTGGTACAAACATACAATTAGATAAAAAGAATAAGTTCTGATGTTCAATAGCAAAGTAGGGTGACTATAGTTAACAATAGATCATATGTTTATTTATTTAATTCGTTTAATTAATTAATTATTTATTTTTGAGATGGAGTCTTGCTCTGTTACCAAGCTGGACTGTGATGGCATGATCTTGGCTCACTGCAACCCGCACCTCCCGGGTTCAAGTGATTCTCCTGCCTCAGCCTCCCAAGTAGCTGGGACTACAGATGTGCACCACCATGCCCAGCTAATTTTTGTATTTTTAGTAGAGACAGGGTTTCACCATGTCGGTCAGGATGGTCTTGATCTCTTGACCTTGTGATCTGCCTGCCTCGGCCTCCCAAAGTGCTGGGATTACAGACGTGAGCCACCATGCCCGGCCTGAGATTGTATATTTCAAAATAACTAGAAGAGAGCACTTGAAATGTCCCCAATACAAAGAAATGATAAATGACTGAGGCAATGGACGTCCTAAATACACTGATTTTATCATTACATATTGTACGCATATATCCACATATCACATGTACCCCATAAATATGTACAATTATTATGTATCAAAGGAAGAAGGGAGGGAGGGTGGGAGGGAGGAAGGAAGGAAGGAAGGAAGGAAGGAAGGAAGGAAGGAAGGAAGGAAGGAAAGAAGGAAGGAAAGAAGGGAGGGAGGGAGACTGGACTGGATGAGTAAATTCAAGAATTCACTGGAGGGAGAGAATAAGTTATAAATAAGTCAATGGAAAGAGGACAGCTCTAAGCAAACTTAGAAGACATAGTTTGGGAAAAATACAATGAAGTGTTGGTGAAGAGAGGTAAAGGGTAGTTTGTTTTATATAAACTAAGAAGACGAGTGGACATTTTCATTCTCTATATCTAGTTACTCTAAAGTTTTGTTTTCCTCTATTCTCACAAAGCCTACCATTTAGCAATATTCAAAGGCACCTGAAGAAAGGTTACACATGGATGCAATATTCTAACCAATCGAACCTGGCTACTCCATCAATCAAATGTTCTGTTTACTAATAAATGCAACTGACAGTCACTGATATTCTTCCAGATTTCTTCCAGGCAACCTAGTCATGTAGGTAACAATAATATAAACAGTGTGCTTTTCTCCCCATCATATATTCTCATTTTTGAATAATTTTCTATCCTCCTTATGACTCAATAAATAGCACCATGCTACTCTTGTCCTAGCTAAGTGTCATTGCTACCCTCAGAGTATTCTTCACATCATTACTCCCAATGCAGGAACATAGATTAAAACAAGAAGGAGGAGGAGAAAAGAAAGGAAAAAGAAAAGGGGCAAGTCAATAGGACTCGCTGTTACTATCATGCACTCTATTTGCTGGAAGGAAAGATTTTACATCACAAAATGCTCACTAAACAAGCTGGTAGATACTAAATTATGAGGCTAAGAGCTAGCTTAAAAGATATAATATGATCCGGCAGGGCACGGTGGCTCACACCTGTAATCCCAGCACTTTGGGAGGCCGAGGTGGGCGGATCACGAGGTCAGGAGATCCGCCCCATCTTGACTAACACGGTGAAACCCCGTCTCTACTAAAAATACCAAAAACTAGCCCTGCGTGGCGGCGGGCGCCTGTAGTTCCAGCTTCTCGGGAGGCTGAGGCAGGAGAATGCGTGAACCCAAGAGGCGGAGCTTGCAGTGAGCCGAGATCACGCCACTGCACTCCAGCCTGGGCAATAGAGCGAGACTCTGTCTCAAAAAATAGTAATAATAATAATATAATATGATCCATGATAAAGGAGACTGTTCCTCCCTTGCTAGAATACTGAGCCAACAAATCAGGATGTGAAGATAGAGTTAGTGTCTCTGATAACATACATCTGACTTTTAAAATACGTATTTCTTATCCCTGTGATTTTAAGCTGTGTTGTATTCACAAATAAGTTCTCAGAAGCAAGAGACTTCAACCAAGGAATATAATGTTTTCAAAAGATTAAAATCTGATCTTGCCACCTTGCTCTAGAAAAGGTACTATGGCATTGATTGGACTGTTTGACACTATCAAGTGGAAACTATTGAAACTATGGTTGCAACGATATCAGAAGTAGTACAGATGTATTGAAACATTTGAACTGTTTGCACAGATTTTAGTGACTCATTCTTTTCTGATAATTCCCATAGCCTGCACTCTCCCACTTCCAAGCATACAGTGGGAGCACCATATATTGTTCAATATAACCACCCCTATGACCACAGTTACATGACCAAATATAGGGACAAGTTCAACACTGAGTCCATCAAGTCCTTCACAAGGTCAAAACTACTTAGTAAGTACAGGATTTGATGCAACTATCTGCCATAAAGATGGATGAAATGCTGAAAGTGATAATAAATAAAATACATTGCTGGGCTCAGAAATAAGCTCACCAGCTTCCTGCAACAGCAACAAAATTGAAATTTTGAAGAAGGAACAGGAGGATTTTGCCCATCAAATATCAAGATTTATTATCAAGCAATATTAATTCAGGTAATGTAGTATGGGCACAGGGAAAAAGGAACCAAGGAAACAGAGCAACTAGACTCAGAAACAGACCCACCCATATGTGAAGACTTGTCATGTAATATGAGTAGCTCTGCTCTATAGAACAATAATAAAATGATGAGCTCTTTGATAATTGGTTCTGAGCAACTGGATCTTCTTATTACAAAATAAATTGGCTCTGACAAAAACAAATGGAAACTCAACTTAGAATAAAGATATAAATGAGAGCAACATTTTAATATCTTTTAGTAGAGACTGTCAGGTAACATGTCTCTGGCCTTGGGTAGGGGAGAATTTATAAAGGTACAAAACATATAAAACATGAAAGTAAAGTTTAAGAAATCTGACTACATTTCCTGTAAAAAATCTGTTCATAGAAAGCATAAAGACAATTAAAAGAAAAGACATGGACAAAGAAATAATTTTTAAAACAAGACCAAACGACCAAGGGAGTATAATCAAGAATTTAAGTGAACAAACATAAGTAAATTAATAAATGCAACCTTATTGACAATAAGGAAAATAAAACAGCTCAATAAAACAGTCAATTAACATTAAAAGAATCTAAGTGACTAACATTATGTGAAAAGATGCTCAAATTTTCTAATATCCAGAGAAATAAAAATTAATGATTCCATTCTACACTAATAAAATGTATAAGAATTCAAAAGTTTAATATCAAAAACCATCGAGGATATAGATAGTAACTTCTAATGTGGCACCCTCAAGCCATGTTGAAGATGTAGCTGTCCTACAGTCTGCGGAGCAGATAAAAGGCATAAAAATCTTGAGACAAACTGCGCAACAGAAAGCTCCAGTGATAGATACTAACTCAATTTATAGGATCTTTGGAATATCAAATGTTTCTATGCATTAGATTTCATTTTAAAGTACTGCTCTGCATTTGTAGTTAAAACTCTCTGTCAGATACAGAAAAGTTCCTTAAAAATGCTCCAAAGAAGGATTTTCTACAAGCTTTTCGCTTACACAAAAGGGAACAGTACTGGATGTTCTTGAAATCCAGCTTGCTGCAGACCATAAAGGCAAAAAAGAAGGAAGCAAGTTTTCCCAAACTACACTCAGTGATAGTCTCAGAATGGAAGCTATTTTTTTTTTATTATACTTTAAGTTCTGGGATACATGTGCAGAACGTGCAGTTTTGTTACATAGGTATACACGTGCCGTGTTGGTTTGCCACACCCATCAACCTTACATTAGGTATTTCTCCTAATGCTTACATTAGGTATTTCTAAGCAGTAAGCAGTCACTTACATTAGGTATTTCTCCTAATGCTGTCCCTCCCCTAGCCCCCCAACCCCAAACAGGCCCCAGTGTGTGATGTTCCCCTCTCTGTGTCCATGTGTTCTCATTGTTCAGCTCCCACTTATAAGTGAGAACATGTGGTGCTTGGTTTTCTGTTCCTGTGTTAGTTTGCTGAGAATGATGGCTTCCAGCTTCATCCATGTCCCTGCAAAGGACATGAACTCATCCTTTTTTATGGCTGCATAGTATTCCACAGTGTATATGTGCCACATTTTCTTTATCCAGTCTATCACTGATGGACATTTGGGTTGGTTCCAAGTCTTTGCTATTGTGAATAGTGCTGCAATAAACATACGTGTGCATGTGCCTTTATAGTAGAATGATATATAATCATTTGGGTATATACCCAGTAATGGGATTACTGGGTCAAACGGTATTTCTAGTTCTAGATGCTTGAGGAATCGCCACACTGCCTTCCACAATGGTTGAACTAATTTACACCCCCACCAACAGTGTAAAAGTGTTCCTATTTCTCCACAGGCTACTCTGGGAATGTCTCTGCTATTCTATGTGAGACTGGACTGCATGTTGCCCAATTTTTGAAAGCACATTATGCAAGGATTTTTCTCTATGATATGAAACTTATTGTTCCAACCATTCAAGATCTTGATATCAGCAGGGCTTGGATCTTCCTTTTTTTTGCAAAATATTATCTGTTTTATTGTACAATCTTCCTTCTTCTGCCCTTAGTGGTAGATATTCCAAAAAGGATTGTATGTTAGCTTTCTTGTAAATCCTATTTATTTCATGGGTCCAACTCTCATTTTCTGTGGGCAACCACAGAATCAATGATTTTATGCATAATCCCACTTCTCACCCTCAAACCCACATTCACAATTGTTGGACGTCTCCATTTGTTCAATAACATTTGTGTGGTAATGGCAATGATTTCTGCACTGACAGCTGCATAGCCTCTGACCTGTTGGTGACTATAGAACTGTTAAAATGTGGCTAGTGCACCTGCAGAAGTTTATTTTATTTCAATTTAACTAATTTAAACTAAAGTTTAAATGGTTCTATGTGGCAAGTGGCTGCTGTATTGGACAGCACAAGTGCACCTGAAACACAAATGATTTTTTAAACCTCTTCCTAGAATTACCCCAGAGTGTTTCAAATACCAACGATTAATTTCTCCAAGTCTTTGAAACTTCGTTGTCCTCAAGCCTTAATAGTCATTTTTGTAGCTTGGTAAATTATCTCAGGGAAATTCTCACTCAACGTCTTTATTTTCAAATTCTATAAACTAAGAATGATCTGATATGTTCTTTGAAAATCAACACTTACTATTTTGTCTTTTAAGAAATCAAAGTACATATTTTAACATTTTAGTATTTACTGTGTCCACATTTATACTATTTTATCTCAAGATATTAGATTATGTTGCATCCATTCTTTACTAGTATCTTAGCTTAAATGCAAACTCTTGGAGGCCAGCTCTCAAACCAAAATTCTAATAAACATTTCTAAAGGTAAAATGAGCCCATAATTTCATGATATGAGCCTAATTTTCTCTGGAGGTAGATGATAGAGTAGAAAATTACAAAAATCAATTAGCTATTGTTTGTGAATGGATAATTAGAGACGGGTTGTTTCAAAGTTCATACAAAATAAATTCAAAGGAAAAAGTGTTGCACCATTTTAAAACAAAATGTCAGGATGAAAATTTGAGTTTCAGGAAATTGGATCATAACTGAATGATGATTATTCATGGCTATATATCAAATAATATTTTTACTGTTCATTTGCATAATGAATGATTTATCTTCAATTTCTGATTTTAAATAGGAATGTCTTGCAGTGTAACAACATACAGAACATTAAAAACATTAATATTCTTACTAATATTGCCACAAATAATGTTAACATTCTTACTTTACAGTGAGAATACAGATGATTCCCCATTAAATGGTTTGGCTTACAAGTTTTCAACTTCACAATGGTGTGAAAGTAGTCTGCTTCCAGTAGAAACTGTACTTTGAGTGCCCATACAGCCACTGTTTTTTTACTTTCAGCACAGTATTCAATAAATTGCATAGATACACTACATTTTATTATAAAACAGGCTTTGTTTTAGATGTTTTTGCCTAACTACGCTAATGGAAGTGGTCTGAACACATTTCAGGTAGGCTAGGCTATGCTACAATTTTCAGTAGGTTAGGTGTATTAAATGCGCTTTTGATATTTTCAACTTATAGTGGGTTTATTGGGCAGCATCTGTATAAGAACGATGATCCCAAGATTGCCTCTATATCATCAATTGAATCAAAGTTAGAAATAAGAATTTTGTCATATCAATATGATTATATAGTCATATAGTTATACACACACAAAATAAATAGCTGATTAGGGACATATTCACTTATCTGCCTTTTTCTGATATTTATTTTCAGACATGCTTTAAATTCCGTCCTGCTTCCTTTATGGCACAGTGCCCTGCCTTCAAATTAATATACGGAAAAAAAAACACATAATGAAAAAATACAGTCCAATAGCACTAGATAGTTTTAATAAACTCTAAACTCAGATGCAAATCCCCGCATTCCAAATACCCTCACCTCTCCCCAAAAATATAAAAATGAACCTGCAAATAAAAATGTTAAGTTCTCAACACACATTTTCTGTTTCTTCCGATTAAGGTACTTCAAAATTAAATCGGTTATCTAAAAAATTAGTAAAGTCCTCTCAATAGAGAATTTAAATTTGAATCTAGGCTATTGCAAAACAAGATATTGAAATGAGAACTAAGCAAGCGTCAGAGAAATAAATTAATTGTTGCTTCCTACCTCCTGTAAAATATCAAAATTTTATGAGTTTCTCTAATGTAATCATTTGACAAGCATGAAGGTTTGTAAGTGAATAATGAGAACATAATAGCATACTTTTATTTCTCACCAAAATTCGAAAATAAGCAAACTAAGAACTATAAAAATAAGAAAAAAGCCAGCCTGGTGCAGTGGCTCATGCCTGTAATCCCAGCACTTTGGGAGCCCGAGGCAGGTGGATCACTTGAGGTCAGGAGTTCAAGACCAGCCTGGACAACATGGTGAAACCCCATCTCTACCAAAAAAAATACAAAAATTAGCCAAGGGCAGTGACATGTGCCTGTACTCCCAGCTACTCAGGCAGGGTGAGGCAGGTGGATAACTTGAACCTGGGGGCAGAGGTTTCAGTGAGCTGAGATCATGCCACTGTACTCAAGCCTGGGTGACAGTGACACTCTGTCTCAAAAATAAAAAAAAAGAAAGACAAAGAGAAAAACAAGCATAAATATTTAAAAACTAATACACGGAGCAGTAAAAATATAATAACAAAATATATATAACAATGAAATATTAATTAAAACTAATATGTACATTATTATTTTCCCTAGAAAAATTTTATGCTATTTACTTTGCACATTATTTGAAAGTTAACAAGAATGACTTTTTAAAAATTAGTTGTACCTGGTACTTTTTTGCTGGAATTCATTAACAGCTGTTGAGATATATTTATTAGACTATCTACATATTCTACTTCTAATTGATTTCTTTTTAGTAAATTGCCTTTGCCTGGAAAAAAAATGTCATTATTTCATAAGGATTAAGAAAAATGTTTTGTCACAGAATTGTCACATAGGGCAGACTATCTCCTCTTATGGTTCTTTTTTTTTTTTTTTTTCCTGAGACGGAGTCTCGCTTTGTCGCCCAGGCTGGAATGCGGTGGCGTGAAATCGGCTCACTGCAAGCTCCGCCTCCCGGATTCACGCCATTCTTCTGCCTCAGCCTCCCGAGTAGCTGGGACTACAGGCGCCCGCCACCTCGCCCGGCTAATTTTTTGTATTTTTAATAAAGATGGGGTTTCACCGTGTTAGCCAGGATGGTCTGGATCTCCTGACCTCGTGATCTGCCCGCCTCGGCCTCCCAGAGTGCTGGGATTACGGGCGTGAGCCACCGCTCCCGGCCTCTTATAAATCTTAATCATGTGCATATGTGCATGCACGTCTCTCTGCATTTTTAATATAACTTGACAGAATTTTTGTTACATTGGTCTTTTTATAAATTGTATAGTTTCGATCTCTACACTGTTTATTTTCTAATTATTTCATAATTAGACTTGTATGGAATATATTTGTGGTAATACACAGATTTATCTGGTACAACGCCTCCTTACAATGGGTGACAGTTACCTACTTTCAAAATGCAGTTACTGTTGAACCTGTCAATCAGCATACTTCTGTTTCCTCTCTCCCACTTTTCATGCTCTTTTGGCATTCATATTACTTTTAAATATGTTACATTCCCCAGAATTCATTGCAATTTTATTACTCAAGATCATTTCACTTGCAAATATTATAAGCCCAATTCAAACTTAGTTGAGAATAATCTAAAAGGAGGAGCAATATATAAACCTCCGTAGTGAAATTGTTGCCTGGCCGTAGGTGGAATGAGCTGGAAGCAGAAACTCAAATACCGTCAAAACGCTCTCTCTACGATTTTCCTCTCTTTTGCCTAAATTTTTCCATGTGGCTGGACTTACGACCAAAAAAAATGGGGATTTAGATCCTTACAGCCTCCAGAACTGAGAGAGAGTTTTCTGGTTCTGTTTCTGATAGCAAAATATTATAAGGTAATACAGAATGGCTAAGATAAAGATACACATCCATTCTTACAGCAATAATTTCAGCCAGATGGCTACTAGCCTGCTACTAACAGTCGTCATGGGCCTATAGATATAAGAAAGAAAAATTTAAAAATGTATTTTTTCACAGACAAGATAATCTTGTCTGTAGACAATTCTAAGGAATCTACAAAAATGCTATTAAAAGTAACAAGTTTTGCAAATTTGCAGAATGCAAAGTCAATATCGTGACAGTTAATTTTAAGGGTCAACTTGACTGGGTTAAGGGACGCCAAGGCAGCTGGTAAAGCATGATTTCTGGGTGTGTCTGTGAGGGTGTTACTGGGAGAGGTTATCATTTGAATCAGTAGACTGGGTAAAGAAGACTCCCCCTTACCAATGTGAATAGGCATCTTTCAATCCCTTGAGGGCCTGAATAGAACAAAAGGCAGAGGAAGGGTGAATTTTCTCTTTCTTCTTTAGCTGGGACATCCAAGTTCTCCTGACTTCTAACATCAGCGTTCTGGATTCTCTGACCTTCATTTTTGAACATCCCTTAGTGGCTTCTCCATGCCCAGGCCCTGGAGAAGCTGGAGGTGGGGTACCCACCAGCTTTCCTGGTTATATAGATTGCAGATAGCAGATGGTGAAGCTTCTTTGACTTTCATAATCATGTTAGCCAATTCCTATAATAAATCTCATCATAATACATGTTCTATTGGTTCTGTTTCTCTGAAGACATTAACAAATATAATACACAAAAAATCAATTGGATTTCTATAGACTAGATAAACTTATAACATTTAAATTCAAATTTAAAACACAGCATCAAGAAGTATAAAATGATTTTACTTGTCAAAGTATATGCAAGATCCATTCACAGAAAACTGAAAATATTGCAGAGAAAGATTAAAGTAGAATTATTTGTGGGGAAGTATACTCCATTCATGCATTTGGAAAGTCAACATTATTAAGATGTGGATTATTGTCCAAACTGAACTATAGATTCAATGCAATAACAATCAAATTCCCAGATTGCTTTGGGTAGAAATAAACAAACTCATTTTAAAATTAATGTAAAAATGCAAGAGACCTAAAATAGAGAAAAACAAATCTGAAAAAGTAAAAAATTGGGCCAGGCACGGTGGCTCATGCCTGTAATCCCAGCACTTTGGGAGGCCGAGGCAGGCGGATCACCTGAGGTCAGGAGTTCAAGACCAGCCTGGCCAACAGGGTAAAACCCCATCTCTACAAAAATACAAAAATTAGCCGGGCATGATGGTGGGTGCCTGTAATTGCAGCTACTCGGGAGGCCGAGGTGGGAGAATTGCTTGAACCAGGGAGCGGAGGTTGCAGTGAGCCGAGATCATGACATTGTATTGCAGCTTGGGCAACAGAGCGAGACTCCATCTCAAAAAAAAAAAAAAAAAAAGAAAAAGTAAAAAATGTAGATCATCACCAGTTGACTTTGATACTTACATTAAAGTTATCATAATCAAGCAAGTAAGTTACATGAGCTTTAATGTAAGTATTAAAATCATAAAAATAAATAGATAAGTGGTACAGAATATGAGAATTCAGAAATAGAGCCATTCAAGCATTCTAGTATTTGACAGAGGTTTCAGGAAATTAAATGGAGACAGGATAATGTTTTCAAGAAATTGTGTTGTAACTATTGGATATACATATACCACATACATATACCACACAAAAAATAATATTTTTTGGCTCCTGCCTTTAACCATATATAAAAATTACCATGAATAGACCTAAATGTAGTTGATGAAACTATAAACTTCTCAAAGAAAAACATAAAAGGAAATCTTAGTGACTTTGGAATTTGGCAAGATTTATTAAATAAGGCTTAAACATCACACACTACAAAAGGAATATAATCAGTAAAACGCCTTTCTCAAAATAAAAAAGTTATATTTAGAGTACAGTAATAAGAAAAGGCAATGCACAAAATGGGAGAAAATATGTAAAAATATAAATCTGACAAAGGGCCTTTCTCTAGAATATATGAAGAACATCTTATATAACTCAAGAATAGAAAGATTAACCAATATTAAAAATTAATAAAATAACTCAGAAAAATGAGACATACAGTGGCAAATAAGTACATAAAAATATCCTTAACAAAATTAATTACAGGGAAATTAAAATTTAAATTATAATGAGATACCACTGCACACCCACTAGAAAAACAACCTTTAAAAAGTCAACAATACCAAATATTGTCAAGGATGTGGACCAACAGTTATGGGAATGTAGAATATTATAGTCACTTTGGAAAAAAAACTTCAATACTTTGTGAGAAAATAAAGTTATACAAATACTATACAAGACAGTCATTCTACAACTAGATATTTATGTGGGAAAATGAAAACATGTCCACAAAAAGATTTTTACATGAATGTTCATAGAAGGTTCATTCATAATAGCCAAATATTGGAAATTATACAGATGTCCATCAATAGATAACAGTTTAAAAGAATTGTTGTCTATCCATATAATGGAATATATCACCAATAAAAAATAACAATACTGTAATTCAAAACAACATAGATTAATTTTAACAGCATTATGATACATGTTAAAAATCAGACCCCAAAACTCCCTACTGTAGGATTCCAGTTTATATGATATTCTAGAAAACACATAACTATACTGATAGAAAGAAAATAAACGATTGTCAAGGGCCAGGAGTTGTAGAAAACTTTTGAGTTAATGGAAATGTTTTCTTTCATAAGTTTCGTGGTGCTTACATGATTATCCACATTTATCAGAATGTATTAAATTATGCAAGTAAAGTTGGTAAATTTTATTGTACATAAGTAATAGCTCAATAAAGCTACACTTCCAAAGTGGTATAGAAGTGGAACCGAGGATTATTTTAAAAATGTAATGCACACACATGCTTCTCAGCAATGGACTGAATTATGAGAGAGAAATATCCTTGATTATGTTCTATAACCAAGGATATAGAAGATCTGAATAACACAATCAATCAACAGGATATAATCTGCACATAGAGTACACTGTAGTCAAAAATAGCAAAATAGATATGTTTTGCAAACATCCATGAAACATTTATCAATATTGAACCTATGATCCTCGCTAATAAAAAAGTAAACAAACTTTATAAAGAAGAGAAGTCATATAGAATGTGTTCTCCGACCATAATGAAATTTGACTAGAACTCAATCACAGAACATAAAACAACCACTTCTAAAAAACCATGATTCAGAAAAAAAGTCTCAAAGTAAATTTTAAAGTGAAAAAAAAACTGAGTTAAAATGAAAATATTACTTATCAAATTATGTGGTATGCAACTAAAGCAGGACTGAGCAGAACATTTCTCGTATGAAATAAGAAATGATCTCAAATAAATAACTTAGTCTCCTGCAGGAAACCTAGAAAAAGAAGATTAAAATAAATTCAAAGTAAGCAAAAGGAAGAAAATAAGAAACATAAAAGGAGAATCAAGAAAATCAAAAATGAGAAAAATGAATAAACAACTAGTACTTCAAAAAATTCAATAAAGTTGTTAAAACTGTGGGGAGATTAACAAAAATAAAAATAGGAAAAACACAGATCACCAATATCTGGAATTAGGTAAGGGATACCCCTATAGATTGTGTAGCTATAAAAGGTTAATAAGTAAATACTAGGAATAAATTTATGCTTATAAATATAACCCAACCTAGAAGAAAAGAACTAACACCTCAAAAACCACAAACTTCCACAACTTATCCAGTATAAAATTTATGTTCTGAATAGCACTGCAACTGTTAAAGAAGTTGGAGCTAACACTTAAAGTTCCATAAAATAAAATAACCATGCCCAGATGGTTTCACTAGAGAATTTCACCAAACATTTAGAAAAAATTAACGCCAATTTTGAACAATCCATTTCAGAAAATAGAAGATAAGGGAACACTTCCTAATTAATTTTATGCAGCAAGAATTACCTTGATACAAAAACCAGACAAAAGTAGTGTAAAAACAAAAACAAAAAATAGACCAATATCCCTCATTAAGTAAGACACAAAAACGCACAACAAAATATTAGCAAACACAACCTAAAATTTTTTTTAAAAAAACGAATTATACCCCATGGACTACTGGGGTTTATTCCAAGTATGCAGGACTGGTTCAATATTTGAAAATAAGTAAAAGCAATCTACTATATTAATAAACTAAAGAAGCAAAATCACACATAGATCATAACAGATCAAAGGAAAAGATGATGGCTGACAACGTGCCAAGATTTTGGAAAACACCCATCTTCAGATATGTAATGACAAGAGAATTGCAATGGCATTCACTATGTCCATGGAAAGCCTTGTTTGAAGAAGGAAAGGAAGGCCAGGGTGGCTGGAGTGCAGTGATGAAAAAGAGAATGGTAGGAAATAGAACCAGAGACAGCAATAAAAGGGTTGACTCCTGCAGGGCCTTAATAATCACGGTAAGGGTTTAGAATTTTATTCCAAGTTTAATGAGAAGCCATTGGAAGTTACTGCTGAGTAGAAGGGTGACACTATCTGGCTGAAAGGAAAAGGTCAATTGATTCAAAAATGATTTCCTGCAGGCTGTCCTCCCAAAGAAAAGAAGCTGGCCTGTTTGAGAGCACCATGGAGACCAGCAATAGCCTTGTGATTAAGAAATGAATCCCATCAGCTAAAATACTTACATGAAAGGGAGGGCTTCTTGCTCTCCAACTGTTAGTGCTAAGGTGGCAAATCATACTACTGGCTCATCTCCTCATATAGCTGCAACTATAGGGCTGTATCATTTCCTTTATTACTCCATAGGGAGTTGTGTTCCTGTAACTGTGAGCTGGCAGAATAGGGCTGCCGTCTTGCTATTGGATCTCAGTCTGTGATCAGGGCACACGGGAGCACTTCCATAACTATGCTCTTACAAGGCTCAGGTCAGCATCTCTCTCTAAGACTTATGCCCGTTTATATTAGATCGCTATGCACTTTCCTACAATGCAATGGGTGGCAGGGGGCTCACACTTTTGTTATTGTCCTGCCTCAGTGAGTTGTTCCCAGTAGAAATTGCTCTGGCAAAACTGATAGGCATGTGCTTTGTTGCAGTTGTCTATGGTTTGCTACACATTGGCTTAATCAAAAACAAAAAAACAAAAACTCTGGCTGCTGCTAAGAAGAGAATAGACCAAATGAAATCAAGAGCATAATTACATATATAATCCTGGAACCTACTCCTATAATCCAAATGAGAGATGATGATAACAGATAATTTGTCAATTGCTGCGTTTATGTTAAACGCTGGGTTTATGTTAAAGGATTTCCCGATTGATTGAATCTATGGTATGAAAGAAAGAAGAAGTCAGTACTGACACAAAGGGTAGAGGCATCTGTTATTAGATAATTTAGGAAAGAGGAGATCAAGATGAAAGCTTCACTGAAGGAAGACCCTTGAGAGAACTTTTCATTTGCTCACAGCCTTTGACAAGGACAATATTTCACTGAAGGCCAACATCTTCTGTATGTTGAAAGTCTCAAGAATCCTCAGCATCCATCAGAATGTTAACAATAGTGGATACAATGTGCACTCCTGATAATGAAGAAATTAGATTTACACATGTACATAGAGTTTCATATTTAGAGAAAAGGCTACAGCATTGGATAATGCACAAAGAAATTTCTGTATCATAAAGGAAAGGAAGAAAAGAAAAGAAGCATATTGCCTGTTGTATTCTCTTCTTTTCCCCGTCACAATTATATTTCCTAGCGGTTATCTATATTCTAAAGATTGAGTGCTTATCATTCAACTGAAAATGATTCTCGTCAAAGTGATCCACTTCTCTGGTAAATCTAAAATGTGAATTTGAATGTTATTTTGTTTTCCAACTCCCCAGAGAATCACTTCCTCATCTTAATTACTTTCTATTCCGGACTTCTATAAGGGACTTC
Source organism: Homo sapiens (assembly GCF_000001405.40). Classification (NCBI taxonomy): domain Eukaryota; kingdom Metazoa; phylum Chordata; class Mammalia; order Primates; family Hominidae; genus Homo; species Homo sapiens. Next base: position 238,808,325 of record NC_000001.11, read on the forward strand.
TTAGTTAGGTTTAATTGTCTTCCTTTCCTTTTTCTTCTCAATCTGCATACTCTCTTTCATGAAGTCTTTTCTCCCACGCACTAATTTATACCTCAAGCTTGATGATAATCAAATCAGTATCAGCATCTAGACAGCGCTTATGAATTTTAGAACAGTACATCAAATTACCTGGCTCCTAAATTCCTCTATTAGTGTGTTCCCTAAACAATTTAAACCCAAATGTCCAAAATGGAAATTTTCATCCCCATCTCAAACTGTTACTATTCTTGAGTTCATCTTTTAAATATAAAAAACATTAATTTATTTACCAGTCATATAGTCTTGAATTTATCTTCTTTCCTCATTCCTTGCAATTATTACTTGTTAATTCCTGTTTATCTTTTGAATTCATACCACTGACTTTTAGTACCATTATTATCTCTTCATGGATTACAATCAATATTTTTGAATGAATATATAATAGAGAAAATCGTGTTTTACATAATCTAATTTTAGACTTTATTTTGCAAATTAACATAATGAATCCAGGTAGGGCTACATGTGGCCGGTGGTTTATAGACTAGTTTAATTTATATTAGAAATGGCTACAAGATATCTATCTTTAAGAGGTAAGGGTTTTGAAGAGAGGAAAGGGTTAAAGAAGCTTTCTAGGGAGAGTTTAGGAACCTGGTTTCACAGGCTGGCTCTATAGTTGAAGGAAAGCATTGGGAACAACTGAGAAACGTGCAAGATATTAAGAGAAATAGAGGGAAAAGATATGAACAGTTTTGTAAATTACACATTTAACTCCACCATACACCTGTTAGTACATTCTTAGAAACTATTGTTGCAGCTTTTTCACTCCTGTTGCTCCGTGGTGGGAGGCAGTGTTACAGCTCTTTACTCCCACTGCCAGCGAGCTCCAGGTTCCTATCCCACAAACAAGAATAAGGTATAATGATACTGGAAAGTGAGTAAGTCAGAGTCAGATTTATTAAGTGACAGAAAAGCTCTCAGCAAAGAGAGGGGACCGTAAAGAGGGCTGCCAACTATGAGGATGAGTCCCGGGACTTTATGGACTGGGAATGGGGAGGGGTGTGCTGACTGGTCTGCAGGCTGTTTTGGAGAAAGCACCACTCTGTGATAGTCTAAGGCCGGGCACAGTGGCTCAGGTCTGTAATCCCAGCACTTTGGGAGGCCGAGGCGGGTGGCTCATGAGGTCAGGAGATCAAGACCAACCTGGCTAACACGGTGAAACCCCATCTCTACTAAAAATACAAAAAATTAGCTGGGCGTGGTGGCGGACACCTGTAATCCCAGCTACTCGGGAGGCTAAGGCAGGAGAATGGTGTGAACCCGAGAGCCGGAGGTTGCAGTGAACCAAGATGGCGCCACTGCACTCCAGCCTGGGCGACAGAACGAGACTCTGTCTCAAAAAAAAAAAAAAAAAAAAAAAAAAAAAAAAAAAAAGGAACCACTTGGAGGCAGAGGTGGAGGCTTGGCCCAGGACCAATCAGGAGCTGACGTGATGATTCACCCTATGTAAATGAAGACTACTCAGTGGCCAATCATACAAAGGTAGTATATGTAAAATAGGTGAAAAGTTAGAGACTAAGGTGTGGCCAGGGAGAGGGAAATGTGTCCACAAAAGGAGTGGATGGAATTTGTTCATGCAGTTTCACCGAGTAGGTGTTTCCATTCAAGGACGCGGGCGCTTTCTTACCTGGGGCCTGCGGTTTGATTTTCAGGCTGTTCTTGGTTTGAAGGAGTTTTACCAAAGACCCACCCTGCCTGCCTGACCAGTTTCTTCCTTCCTCCTCTCACTGTTGAAAATATTTTAAATTGCTTGGTAATTATTTGTGGATGCCGGTCCAGTATGAATGCTACGCTGGATGCACATGAATCTGCAGATAGCACCAAGGTTTTTTCCGTTGATTGCACATTTTACTCTTTGTTATTTCAATGTTGAATATCCTCATCCCGCCCGCACCTCTCTTTCAACCCTGGCTCTAATTTATCTTTCACAATTCAATTTAGATTAGACTGCATCCATGTTATTAACCAATCTCTTACGCTGACCTTGCTACTACTAGTTTAGGAGTCTCTTTTCCCTGCCTTGATACATATTTATCTTACCAGAGCAATGATCATGCCAATCATTCCCTCCTTAAACTGGTAGTATCTTAAATATTTATATAGAGACAGAGATCTATAGAGATATGATCTTAATTGCTGTTATAGTCTGAGAGCCTGGCCCAGTGATCTCTTAATAATAAGCATTTAATAAATATTTGTTTAATGAATATATGCCATATTAATACACGTTTACCATGTAAATATAAAAATAAAGTGCTCATTATATTTGAAATACATTCATGAATCACATAACATTTTGGTCAATGACAATCCATATATATGATGGTGGTGCCATAAGATTCTAAAGAAATTGAAAAATTCCTGTTGCACAAACACTTACTGGTGTGTTACTATTTCCTTCTAGTATGCAGTATAATGACCTGTTGAACGGTTTTGCAGTCTAGGAGCAACAGGCCATACCATCTATGTCTGTCTAAGTATGAGTGCTCTATGATGCTCTGAGTGCTCTATGATGTTAGCACAACGATGAAATCTCCTAACCATGCATTTCTAAGAACAAATTCTCATGGTTAAGAGATGCATGGATTCAAGTTGCTACAATGTATATGTGCTTAGTGTTTTTTGAATCATTAAGTTTTCTGGAAACCTAATGTTTCCAGAAAAAAAGTTGATGACTGCAAGTATAAAATATATGAAACAAGTATACATGAAAGCAAAGAGAAAAACAAAAGAAATTCATAAAATGAATAGCTATCGAAGAATCCCATCTATTTACTATATGTTTTCCATCATATCGAAAATCATATATTTTCATTTTATGGAAAAGTTTGACGATTTTATTTGTAGTAAAAAATTTAAAGGCAGCAGCAAGTGCAACGTAAGTCTTTATTGAAAAAGTTTGTTAAAATATTCTGTATGAGTCTTGGGTGATTCTCGGCTCACTAAAGCTTGTATTTTATCTTATCTCCAATGATGTGGCATCTGACTCAGTGTAAAGACTTGTGATCATTTATTTGATTGCAACCATCTGTTTTCTAAAAGTCATTTATCTCTCTCAGGATTTGGAATAATATCTACAGATTCCTAGGGTGCCCTCTTTCTTTTCCCTTGAGGAAAATTACTTTGTCTTGATTGCCTATTTCTTTTTTATTCTCTCCTGGGTTTTGTCCTAAATCAACCCTGTCCTTGGGGAGTTCAAAGGCAGCAATTAGGAAGTTTGAGTGTAAGAACTACCAGTGACTGCATATGAGAGAAAATGAATATGTGTGTGTTCAGGGGCCCCATGTGCCTTTCCATCTGCTTTCAGCCCATTAAATTCTCATTTGGAAGCAATGGCATACAGAGAAGTCAGAACATTTACTGTAACATGGTTTTCTCTAGCTACAATATGGCATTGCTAATAGGAGAAAATCTAAGAACTTACCTATCATGAGCAGATTTTGTGTGCCTATTACTTTATAAAGCAATTTACTTGTATAATCTATCAACTCCTCACAACAATTCAATGAGGTAGACATTATTTTATTTTCCCGTAAAAAAAAAAATTTAAGGATTGCAGACTTGCCCAAGGAATCCTAGCTAGTTAAGGGCAGAGATGAATTCAAATCTGTGTCTGAACAGCTTCAAGACTCATATTTTCGTAGAAAGCTCTTTACCTCCCATAAATATTTAACAGCATTTTAGTTTTACTATGCTTTCAACTTGGTCCAAAGTTGTCTTTCAGCTTGGTGGTGTATGCATTCTACGAATCTCAGAGTATATATAAGGAGAGTATCAGACATAGCTGTGTGCTAAAAGATGTTTATAGCCTAGTTGGAAGGGAAGCATATGAACAAGTACAAAATATTTCACTAAATAAAATGTAACAAAAATTTGAAGACTTATATGTTTTGTTCTTTTATTTTCAGTTTTTAAGGCTGGAGGGTAAATCTCATCCTGTTACTTCTGTTTAGCAATGGAGTTCACTGTAATAAGTGTTGAAATCAAGTGTTATATTTTTCCCAACTTTGCTCATCCATTTACAAATTGTTTGGAGCTGGGCGCATTGGCTCACTCCTGTAATCCCAGTGCTTTGGGAGGCTGAGGTGGGCAGATCACTTGAGGTTAGGAGTTCTTGACCAGCCTGGCCAACATTGTGAAACCCGTCTCTAATAAAAATATGAAAATTAGCCCGGTGTGGTAGTGCATGCCTGTAGTCCCAGCTACTCGGGAGGCTGAGGGAGGAGAATCATTTGAGCCAGGGAGGCACAGGTTGCAATGGGCCAAGATCACGCCACTGCACTCTAGCCTGGGCATCTGTCTCAAAAAATAAAAATAAATAAAATAAAAATTGTTTGGCTTTCTGTGCCATTAACATTTCTATGTAAAGTTTATAATAAATTCAATAATGTCTAAAAGGTTCCTGATGAAATTATACTTATAATTTTTTGGACGTTATAGATTAATTTGTAATTAAATGACATCTTGAAAACATCGAGTCTTCCAATTCACAAACAAAATATCTCTCATCATTATTTAGCTTTCCTTTAAGTTCTCTCAGCAATCTTCAGTTTTTTTGGTGAAGAGTCTTAGGCACTCTTTCTCCCTTAGTATTCCATGTTTTTGGAATTATTATAAAATATTCATTTTAATTTATATGATAACATTTTTCTTGCCAGTACACACAACTATAATTGGATTTTTAGGATTATTAAATAATTTTATAATTTTTTGAGTGCCTTCAAATATGGCTATTAGGAACTGAATGCTATTTGGAACTCATTGACAAATAATACCTTAAACTAGCTCTTTATAATATTAAAAGGCATTTCATATTTATTACATCATTTCTTTGTTTCAGCAAAGTATGATAATCACTGAGGATAATATTTATCAAACACATGATTTATAATAAATTGTTATATCTTAAATTTGTGTCCTATCGGCTTATCAATTCACTTAGTAGGTCTAGTGTTTGTTTGATAGTTAAGATTTTCTACCAAATTAACTATGTCATCTACCTTTTCTTGCAGTAACTAGGACAATCAGCATAAGGTAGAATAGAAGGGTGAGAACGGGTATCCTTGCATTCTTCCCAATCTTAAGGGAAAGTGCTAAAAATTTATAGTATGCATGGTTTTTTTGTAGATGCCCTTTACGAGGAAGAGAAAGTTACCTTTCATTTCTAGTTTCTTGGGAATTTTTATCATAGGGGAATGTTGACTTTTGTAAATCTTTTTAAATCACCTATTGAAAGATCATAAAGTTTTGTTCTATTTTATTTTATAATGTGGTGAATTATGTTAAATGTTAGGTGAATGTCAAACCAAGATTACTTTGCTGGGTTAAATTCCATATGGTCATGGTGTGTGACTGTGTTTATGTATTATTGGATTCGAGTTGCTAAAATCATATTATAGCTTAGATAAATATAGATTATTTTTCTTTATTGTTAATGTTTTTGTCGGTCTTATTATAGAGAGTATGCTGGCCTTATAAAACTAATTGTAATGTTTTTCCTCTTCCTGTATTTTGTGACAGATAAAGATTGGTGTTAAATTGTTTAAAAAATATTTTGTAGCATACACCAGTACAGCATGTGGGATTGGAGGTACCACTGTGGAGGGTATTTTGGTGATAAATTCAGTTAATCATAGGACATAGGATTATCTAAATTTTGTATTCCAATTTTGTTAAGTTATAGTTTTCAGTAAATTTTTTCATATAACTTGTCAAATGTGTGGCTATAAAGTTGTTTATTATAAGCTTTTATTATCCTTTCGATGTTTTTAGGACCTATGTAAACACCCCTTTTATTCCTGATATTGATGACAAACATTCTCTTCCTTTTTCTTCATCAGCCTAGCTAAGGAGCTATCAATTTTGTTTATCTTTTCAAGAACCAGATTTTTGCTAGTTTAATTTTCTCTATTATTTGCATATTTTCTATTTTGTTCATTTCTGTTCTCATGTTTATTGTTCCCTTTTCTCTAGTTATTTTGGATTTACTTTGTCCTTCTATGTCTAACTTGTATGTAATTAACTTTAGCCCATCATTCTCTTCTAATTTCTGCACTTAAACTTATAAATTTTCCTCACTAAACTGTCTTAGTGGCTTTCTAGAAATTTTATTAGACTATATTATCAGGATCATACATTTTGAAATATTTCCTAATTTTCTTGTAATTTCTCCTTTATATCTATAGAATATGGAGAAGTACATTATTTAATTTACAATGTTTAAAATTTTCCAAAATATCTCATTATTATTGGATTTTAGTGTAATTCAGCTGTGGTCAAAAAATTAACTATGTATAATTTCAAAAGCATTAAATGTACTGTGACTTATTATTATGGCCTAACTTAAGAAGCTCCTGGTGCATATTCCATGTCACTTGAAAAGAATGTGTATTCTGACAGTTTCAGGTGTAATGTTCTACAGTGTCAATTAGGGCAAGATGGTGATGGCTGTTCAGATCTATATACCTCTCGATTTGCTATGTAATTGTTCTATCAATTACTGAAAAGAAGTTCCAATTTTAACTCCATTCATGAAGTTTTCTGTTTCTTTTCTTAATTCTATCAATTTTTGCTTCATGTATTTTGAAACTCTGTATGTAGATACGTACATATTTAGACTTACTAAATCCTTGAGGAAGTAACTGTCTTTTATTATGAAAAGTGTTTTTCAGTTTTTTTGTCAGTGGTAGTATCACTTTTTCTGAAGTCTAGTTCTTCTGACACTAATATAATAACTGTAATTCTTGTGGTTATTTTTTACACAATATATATTTTTCACATTGTAGTATTAAAATGTTTTAAGTGAGAAAATATTATAAGTGTTTTATATTTACTGCAATATTTATTTTTTCTATTGTTCTTTTTCTTTTCTATAGATCCACGTTTATATCTTGGATCATTTATATTCAGTCTGCAAAATAGTTTTTATCAAATCTAAAACTACACCCTTTAAGCACATTAAATATGGTGTTCAATTTTCTTGTGGTTTGCATTTTTTTTTGTGCAGAGGGTTAGTCGTTATTTATTTACTATTATATGTAATGCTTCCCCTGTCCTTCTCTGGCTGCTTTTAGTATTTCTTCTTTATCACTGCTTTTCTGTAATTTGATTATGATGGTTTGCTTTAGCATAATTTTATTTGTTTATCTTGCTTTGAGTTTGCTGAGCTGTGAGGAGGTGTGGGTTTAAAGATTTTTATTAAATATAAAATATTTTCAAACTTTTTTTCAAACTTTTCTTCCCCAGATCTGTTTCTAATGAGTAATTTTTTTGAATATGGGACATACTTTCTTCTCTAATAATTTTTGATTCTTGATGGACATTTTGAATCACAGATTATTAATTATCTGAATTGTGTTGCCTTTCTTTAAGGAATACTGAGTTTTGTGCCATCAAAGAAAACCAGAAGCAGACAGTAGTTAAAGCAATAAAAACAGATTTTCCTCAAGAATTGGTGATATTTTGATAAGGACCATGACATCTCTACAATGATGAGAGAGATTGACCATAGTTTCCTTGTAACATCTTTTTTGTATGGTTTATTGAATTAGGGTAATTCTGGCATCACAGAATGAGTTAAGGAAGTACTCCCTTTGCTTCTGTCTTCTGGAGAAACTGTAGAGAGTCGGTATAATTTCTTATAGAATTTGTAATAGAGGAAAAGGGACTTCCACAAAGAACTGTCCTCAATTCTGAAAACAGCACGGATAAATGGCGATTTACAGCCAAGGAGCAGAGACTGCAAGGGGAGGCAGTGAGTAGATGGAAAATTACTGAGGAAATATCAGGTATTGGGACATTCTGGCTGAAGTGGCTTGAGAACATTCTTGCTGAAGGCAGGCCAGGGTGATCATACATCACTGGGAGGGGTGAGGGATGAGGAATTTGATTAGATATTGAAGGTGGGGGAATCTCATTCAACTGACTTTGCAAGATTCTTGCTACAACTGGGCAGTGCAGGCCCAAGGACAGACAGAAAGTACAAGGCCTGGAGGGCTTAGAGTTTAGTCAGGGAATCAGTGCTCTTAGGAAGCTGATCTATTTCAGATTTTCAGATGAGCTTGATCACTTTAAGGCTTGTTCTTAAGCCTTACCCTAAGCATTGCTTTACTCTCTCCTAAGGTTTTTGTTGTTGTTATTGTTTGACGGAGTCTCACTCTGCTGTTGCACAGGCTGGAGTCCAGTGGCACGATCTCATCCCACTGTAACCTCCACTTCCCAGGTTCAAGTGATTATCCTGTCTCCACCTTCCCAGTAGCTCTGATTACAGGCATGAGTCATCATGCCCGGCTAATTTTTGTATTTTCAGTAGAGACAGTGTTTCACCATGTTGGCTAGGATGGTCTTGAACTCCTGACTTCAGTGATCCTCCTGTCTCGGCCTCCCAAAGTGCAGGGATTACGGGCGTGAGTCACTGGGCCTAGCCTAGGCATCACCTTTCTTGGTCCTCTCCTGCTTCCCCCAGCTATCCATCAGGGTGTCTCCACTCTGACTGGTTGGGGTTCAAACTCTGCATGCTTCCTTCGATTTTTACCTACAATAACCTGGTAGTTACTTGCCCAACTTCATGCCTAAGCTTCACTCCTTGTATGTGCACATGAATATTCAGGAAAATATTTCAGAAATATTTGGAGCTCTTCCCTGTATACCTTCCTCCTCTCTGATAACTCTGCCCATACCTCCAAGTCCCCAAGCTTCAGTTCTAGTCTCTTTAGCTCAATGAGATAACCATGCTCTCCTGATGCTCCCACCTTGTGAAGAATTTTAACAAATTACATAGGCACAAAGCCTGGGCCATCCTAAGACTCTACTTGTTTCTTTCTCATCTCTCAGAATCAGGGTCTTGAGCTGCCTCTTGTCCAAAGCAAAAAAAAACAAACAACAACAACAAAAAACCATTGGTGGAGGTTATTCCATAGGGGAAGAAGTGAAAGTCCAGAATGTCAGTTTGTGGTTTTGTTTTGTATTCCATCTTGGTAGCCCATTAGAACCTATCAAACTTATGGTTCATGGACATTGAAAAAAGGTTCTTGAATATAGTTACTATAAAAATCATCACATTTAAAGCATATTTCATAATATATAACAGTGTGCAAAATGGGTCTTACCTTCATATAAGTACTGCAAAAGGTATACTATAACATTAAATCATTTTGATTGGCAGTCTGTCAATTGTAGACATATCATAGTTGATGAGGTCCTTTAAAGCCCATGCACTATGTAATACTTGTCCAAAGTATTGAAGGAGAGCATAAATGCCTCCAATTCTATAATGAGAAATAAAATGTGTTTTTCTGATGGCAAGGTATAGCATTTACTTTCATATGGCAGTGATGTGTAGAAAAAATGTGTTGATTCGCAGAAATATGAAAGTAGACCTTGTTTTTGGCATCCCTATTGTCACCTTATACATTTATTTACGGACATTTTAAATACTTTTCATACAATTTAGATAGAAATTTTCTCAGAAATTTTAATATAATTAGTATAAACTAACATATATGTGCATATTAAGCTCTTTTCTTTTGCCAGAATTGTTCAGAATTCCAAACTTTTCCTGTATTTCAAATATTGAGCTAATCTGAAGATAGAGTTCTTTCAATTTAAAAATGCTCTGTTTATAATGAGAACAAGATAAGGGAAAATGGCATGAATTTTGAAATGTTCTCCAGAGAAATTTCTGAAACATGTAGCTCTTTTTCTTATTTTCAAAAGGTGAACTATACTGTCATATACCTCTCAACTAAAAAAATGTGTTTGGTTATGAAAATGTATCCCTCCAATGAAACAATTTTATTTTCTCTTAGTTCTTGTCATTAAGTTGTACTTTTGAAAGCCATAGATAAAACTGTTAGCATTTCTTTCCCTATATCATACGGTAGAGAAACACACACACACACACACACACACACACACACACACACACACACAGAGAGAGATGCACGTTAGTTTATTTCTTCATGATCTCCTAGTGCATTGTATATCAAATTATAATTGTTTATCTGAGAAAAAAAGAGAATTATTTCATTAATTATTGTTGATCATTGCATCAGTCATGCCAGACTACTAACGTTTTCTCAAACTGAATAGCCCATCTATTTAAAATTAAACAAACAATTTTAACTCAATGTCTGTCTGTAATTAAATACTCATTGCTAAAAACAAGAAGAAAGTCCTGGTTAGTGTACCCAATACGTCCAGCATTGTAAGTATTTCTTTTTAAAAGTAGGTTTAGTAAATAATCTCAGCAGAATTTTAGTCAAACATAAACATGAATGCTAAGTAAAGCTGACTATGATGTAGAAATTATGAAGCAGCTGAAATCCTCAAATTTTTAGAAAATTTCTAGGCATATAATTTCTCATAGGACGATTTTTGTAGAAACAATTGAAAATATGCCTTTGAATTTAACTTAACTTGGTCTACTTATGACATTTTATCTCATCAGCAGTGAGACCATATTCTCATAATGTAGTTACTAAATGCTCTTAACAATACAACGATTACAAGGATCGAAGTCAAATTCCTGAGATGCATGGGAGCTTCAGTTTCTTTCAAGATCAAATTCCCAAATTATTGATGTGGGATATATTCCCCAAAATGAGGAATGTACATTTTGTATCAATGACAACCTTTACAGCTAATCACATAAAAAGAAATATTTTTTATTTTAAATTCTGTCTATTTTTATTGTTTACCTCTATTACAAATATCTATAGCCAAAGGAGTACTTATTCTCTATTGTTCTATATAAGTTTTGGGGATTTGAGGATAATCTAGTACTAATAATTTTGTTTGAAGCACCGAAATTTATAGCTTTGCCTAGAACTGGTGTGGATTCGTATTTATGTCAGAATTGAAAACATTAATCCATTCATAGATAAGCTAGCATGTATACAAATGAAAGATAGAAATAATAAGAATGTATGCTATTGTTTCAGAAGGCCAGACTTACTATTATCCAAACTGAATCTATTGTCTGTTTCAGCCTAACACGGAAAGTATCTCAGTGTAAAATTTAAAAATAATATTTACCCGTATCATACTTGATTTACTGTGCTTGTTAAGAGAGCAGTTTGCATCTATTGGAGTAACATTAAAAACCCGAAGTCCTTAGAAAGTCACTCTGTATACTACTCTCAAGCCCTTACACATTTATATGCCCTACACACCCATAAAGGTATTCTCATTACATCTTTGAAGTACAAAAAGCAACGCAATGACATCCTGAGAAATGTATATGTGTAATTGCATGCTTGTATATATTAAACACATTATAATGCCTAGCCAAATTAACATCGAATTTCACTTAAAGACCTATTTATCTTATTTTCTATTTATCACTACATTGTATTGGGCATTCAACAAATTACAAGGCTTGTTAACAGGCAAGAATAATAATAGTCTGAAGAAACAAAACAAGTATTAGAATTAGACTCAAGTATGACATAGGCTTTAAAATTACCAGAAAAGAATTTAAGTTAACTATGATTAAAATGTAAATGGTTCAAATAGAAAAAATTAGAGAACATGCAAAATTAGATGGAGAATATAAGATGAAAGATATTAAGTCTAAGAAAACAAATCACATAGAAATTCAATAAATCAAAGACATGGTAATAGAAATAAAGAATGCCTTCTAGTGGCTCACCAATGTATACAACAAGGCCAATGAAATAATCATTTAGCTTGAAGATACGGAAATAGAAACTTCTTAAAACTGAAATTAAAAGAGAATAAGAAATGAAAACAAAATACAGACCAAAGCACATGAAAATATTGGGATAATTTCAAAAGGTGTAACATATATATTGGAATACTAGTGGGAGAAGAAAAATAGAATGGAGCTTTAAAAATATTAAATAATTGTAGCCAAGAATATTTCAAGATTAATTGCAGACACCAAAGCTGAGGGAGTACAAAGCAGGATAAATACAAAGAATGCTATGTCTAGTCATATCATGTTCAAAATATAGAAAATCAAAGACAAAAGCAAAACATCGAAAAAAGACAGGGAGGAAATTATATTACCTACAGTGGAATAAGAACAAAAATGACAGTGAACTTCTTGTCAGAAACCAGGCAAACAAACAGAAGACAGTAGAGTGACATATTGAAGTGTTGACATAAAAAGTAACCAACCCAGAGTTCCATATCCACTGAAATTATCCTCAAGATGTAGCATACATAAACTCGGAGACAAAACTGAGAGCACTACCCTTCAAGAAATATTAAAAGTTCTTCAGAGAAAAAGAAACTGATATAGATAAGAAATCTGGAGCCACATAAAGAGATAAGAGCATCTGAGAAAGAATAAATAGAACTAAAATAAATTGTTTGTTTATCCTTAATCTAATAGATAACTGCTTACTTAAAGTAATAATAGTAACAATGCACTACTGATTATAACACATGGAGGCATAAAATGAATGACATCAATGTTATAAGGAACAGGAGTCAAGTATTCAAAATACATTGATATAAGAAACCAGCTGCAAATTATAATGTGTAATTTGAAAGTGGACTTAGACTATATATATATATATACGACATATAGATTTGTGTATATATGTATGTATACTTATACATACATACATACACAGAATCACACACATACACATATGAAACACTAATTTTATTAAAAAATTATAATTGATATATTAAGAGAGGAGATAAATATTGCAGAAAATGCCCAATTAAAATATGAGATGACAGAAAAAAAGGGGAGGGAAAAGAGAAAAAACGAGTAATTAATAGATAGAAAATAGTAACAAATACAGTAAATATTAATTCCACTTTAGAAAGCATCACTTTATTGTGAGTGATCAAAATATACCAAATAAAAGAAACCTTAAGAGTGGATAAAAAACAGACTCAACACCACATTGCTTCCAAAACAAACAAAAAAATTTAAATATAAAGACTCATATGGCTGGGCGCGGTGGCTCACGCCTGTAATCCCAGCACTTTGGGACGCCGAGGCAGGTGGATCACAGGTCAGGAGATCAAGAATATCCTGGCCAACATGGTGAAACCCCATCTCTACTAAAATACAAAAAATTACCCAGGTGTATTGGTGTGTGCCTGTAGTCCCTGCTATTTGGGAGGCTGAGGCAGGGGAATGCCTTGAACCCAGGAGGTGGAGGTCACAGTGAGCCGGGATTGCACCACTGCACTCCAGCCTGGTGACAGAGCAAGACTCTGTGTCAGAAAGGAAAAAAAAAAAGACTCATATAATTTAAAAATTTGGCAAAAGACCCAAAATAGCCAATACTGCCTTGAAGGAGAAAAACAAAGTTAGAAGAATAACATTCCTGACTTCAAGACTTACTATTAGCTACAGTAATTAAGACAGTATGGTACTGGTGGAAAAAAACGGCAAATAGATCAACCGATATGGAATAGACACTCCAGAAATAGATCCACATCAATATTGCAACTGATCTTTGACAAAGTAGCAAAGGCAATACAATGGAAAAAATATAGACTTTTTCAAGAAATTATGCCAGGACAGCTAGATATCTATAGGGAAAAAAAAAAAAAAGAATGTAGACCTTAATCTTTCACAAAAATTGATGCAAAATGGATCGTAGACCAAATGTAAAATACAAAACAAAAAAACTCTTTAAAATATATAGGAGGAAATTTAGAAGACCTTAGGTATGGTAATGACTTCTGAGATACAACACCAAAAGCATGATTCATGAAATAATTGATAAACTAGAAGACTTCATTATAATAAAAAATTTCTGCTCTAAGAAAGACACTGTCAAGAGAATGAGAAGACAAGCCACAGATCAGAAGAAAATATTTCAAAAGCATATCAAATAAAGTACTGTTATTTAAAATACACAATTTTTTAAAAATGTGCAACAAGAAAACAAATGAAGAAAACAATGAAAAAGGGAGCAACAAATCTGAACGCCTCATCAAAGATATACAGATGATAAATAGGCATATGAAAAGATCCTCAACATTGTCATTAAGGAGTTGCACATTTAAAAAACAATGAGATACAACTGTATGCCTGTTAGAATGGCAAAATTCCAAAACACTGGCAACACTAAATGCTGATGAGGATGTGGAGCATCAGGAACTCTCATGCAAAATGGAACAGCTACTTTGGAAGACAGCTTAGTTGTTTCTCACAAAACTAACCATACTCTTACCATTAGATTCAGCAATCCAAAAGACTCAAAAACGTATTCATACAAAAATCAGCACAAGAATTTTTAGAGCAGTTTTATTTATAATTGCCACCAAGATGACCCTCAGTAGATGAATGAATGAATAAACAGTGGTGCATCCAGGCTATGGAATATTATTCAGCACTAAAAGGAAATGAGCTATCAAGCCATGAAAACACATGGAAGAAACTTAAATGCATATTACTAAGTAAAAGAAGCTAATCTGAAAAGGCCATGCACTGTGTTTCTAACTATATTACATTCTGGAAAAGGCAAAACTAGATATACAGTAAAAGGATCAATGGTCTCCAGGGGTTGAGGGAAGGGGAAGGATGAACAGAAGGAATACTGAGGATTTGTAAAGCAGTGAAACTATTTTCTATGATACAATAATGGTGCATGTATGTCATTATACATTTGTCTAAAGCTATAGAACACACAATCCCAAGAGCAAGCCTTAATGTAAACCATTACGTGATTACGACTTTTAGTGATAATGGTGTGTCAATGTAGGTTTATGGGTTGTAACAAATGTATCACTCTAGTGGGGGATGTTGGTAGTGGGGTAAGGCTGTACATGTTTGCACGTAGGGAGCATAGAGGAAATCTTTGTACTTTCTCCACAATTTGGCTGTGATTCTAAAACTGTTCTTAAAATAAAGTCTATTTAAAAATAAAGAAAGAAAATGTGTTAAACCCAGAGCTGACACATATGGCTTCTGAGATATGTAGCAAGAAAAAAAGGGTGTGACCCATCCACTCCACATCTTTTCAACACCCTGAGTTATTTTTTCTGCCTCCACATTGCCTACTCTCCCATCTCAAGCCTTCTTAGGCCAAAGTGTTTCCAAAGATATTCTAAGAGCAATGAAAACCAGCCCAGCTGTCCCACAGAAATGGTGTTTACAGTCTTTTAAATAAACATAGAAATCAACCCTCCCTGGTCTTAAAACTTGAAACTTACATTTATCTTACCTGAGTTCCTTCATCAGGAAACCCCCCTCAGGCAAGAAACTGAAACTTACCAGATCACTGCATCCACATGAGAAGCCAGACACCACATCCCTCACAATTGCTTCCTTACTCCTTCCTAATTCTGGGTTTTCACAAGTAGCTACATTCCTTCCCCTCTATATAAACCTTCAATTTATATATTTCAGTTGGCTGAAAGAGATGGATTAGAAACTGATCTCATGTCTCTCCATTTGACATCACCCAAATAAAAAGCTTTCTTTCCTGGCAATACTCCTTGCCCCAGTGATTGGCTTTCAGTGTGGTGAGCAATGGCAACTATAACAAACCCTTGGTGTTTCCATAACACAATCAGTGATCTGCAATTTCCTCTTCTTGAAGAAGGGTATGTAAAGATGAGACTTATCAAATTTTAACTCTATGTGTAATTTCTCATGAAATTATAGGTAATGTAGTTAACGTAATGCTAGACTCTGTTATACTTTGGACTGAACATAATTTTGAGATGTTATTTTGGAATTTAATGAAAAAAATAATATCCCTCTGACTGATCATATTACATGTTAGAAGTTCTTAGTGATATAATTTGTGTATTATCTATCTTTGACCTTATTTAAGGAGCAACATAATAAGCGGTTAGGAATTATTTTTTAAAATGGAGTTTCAATTATCTCACTTATAAAAATGGAATTCAATTTTTTCATGAGATCTAAATAAAAAATAAAACAATGCATGCAAAAGCAACAAACACAAAACTAATTAATGTTCAGTAGTATGTCTCTGTTTTATTTTGAAGAACTATTTCAATACATAGTTTCAAACCTAAGTATTTATGTTTTAAACAAGATTGCATCACTCTTGAAGAGTTCTCATTCATGTAGTTTTTTGAGTTCTTATTCACATTATTTTATTCACATTATTATTCAACCAACATCTTTTCTTACCCTTCTTCTTCTCCCTTCACCTCATTCCCCTACTTAATAAAAAATTGCTACAGTAGTTCAGCTTTCTTCATGTTATTCACATAATTTGAGTATCCCTGCAAATGCATTTTCAGTTCATATCACATGCTAATGATCAAGGCCAAAAATCATTCAGCTCTATTGAATATATTTCATATGTTTAGCCTTCTAGAGCTACTTTCTATTAATTATTTAAAAACACACAGACTCCAGAAATGTTAATTACTTACTAGTTAATTTAAGAAATAAATTTGGTAATAATTACTATTTAGTTAATTAATTAGTAAGATTGTAGTTTATAGATCTCAGCTCACTGCAACGTTCACAGTGAGCTGGTTACAGTATATATATAATATAATACATAATAATTACTTATTAGTTAATTAAGAAATAAGTCATAACAATGAAGGTGAGTTTGAAAAAGTGTACACAAATTTTGTTTATCCTAGTCAAGACATGTTTCCTATATTTTATGGATGTATTCAAAATCATATTACATATCAATTTTACACACTAGTTTTTTTATAAAATTACAGTCAACACAAAAACAAATCCTTGAAAAATTGAAAATGTATAGTTTTCATTTTAATAATCATATAACATGTCCTGATTTTTAATTAGCAACTCTTCAGACCATTAGCATACATCAGTCTCAATCTCAATCTCAATCTCATATGAAAGAACTTCCTTTTGGTTTGCTACTAGAGTTGCAAGCTAAATTGCACATTCAAAATACCTATAAACTGGCTGGATGCGGTGACTCATATCTATGATCCCAGCATTATGGGAGGCCAAGGCAGGTGGATCCCCGGAGGTGGGAAGTTCAAGACCAGCCTGGCCAACATGGTGAAACCCCATCTTTACTAAAAATACAAAAATTAGCCAGGCATGGTGGCACATGCTTATAATCCCAGCTAGTCAGGAGGCTTGTCATCCCAGTTACTTGGGAACACAATTTCTTGAAACTAGAGGCGAGGGTTGCAGTGAGCTGAGACCTATAAACTACAGTATCTATCAAATTGCAAATTTTAAAAATTTCAATAAAACTACACAGCTGCAGATCATTACAAATGAAGACTCCTGACATTATTTATTTTAGCCTTAATAAAATGCATTAGAATTCAGTAAAAAGAACAGCCTATAATTCTTCAAAAGATAAAAGAGCATTGTGATTGCTTTTAGTCAGTCTCTAGAGTAGCATTGTCCAGTACAGTAACCATGAGCCACATGTGGCTATTGAACACTTGAAATGTGTCTAGTTCAAAATGAGATACACTCCAAGAATAAAATAAGCACTGAATTACAAGCACTTAGTACCAAAAAAAGTCAAATGGATATTTATTTTCCACTTATCACATGTTGAAATATTTTGAATATACTGTGTTCAATAAAATTATATTATTAAAATTAATATTTTATTTTATTTTTCATGTATTTATTAGAAAATTTACAAGTACATATGTGGCTGGCATTGTATTTCATTTGGGTAGCTGCTCTAGGAGATCACCTACATCTTTATTAGTACTACAGTAATGGCACATCTGATGGCATAATAAAATTTGATACATTCATTTATTCAAACAAACTTTTTTAGCTGATATGACATCATTTGACTAATAATTTTTCGAAGAATTGATTTTTTCCTGAGTTCTGGCATCGAGAAGACAAATCAAAAAGCACCCCTGTGAATCTGTCAGAATTTTAATTCAAGAACGGTGTTCATGAGTGTCATATGGAATAATAATTTTTAGAATTTTCAGCCTTTGCTACACCAATAAATAACAATCATTAAATGTAAAAGACTAAGACATTTATCAAAATTAGTACAGCTGGTAATTTCCATTTCATTAAAATTTATATGTGTTTTCATTTGTAAATTTTCTTAAACAGTCTGAGATTCATGAAAGCCTTCAAAGTTTGTAGATAGATATCATGAACTCAGTGATATTTTATGCAGCATTTCGTCGATTTGCTTTTTTCTTTTCTGGAGATAGCAATCAATGACTTCATCAGTTTCCTAAAGGACTCAGTGATACAAAAAGTTTAATTTTCTACTTTAAAACCATTTTAAGTTCCTTCCAGTTCTGTGGCTTCTTTCTGGTTGAGGTGAATGCTATGCCTAAATTTCTTCAATTTAGTCTATGCTAATAATTTTTTTGAGGATTTGACTTTAAGAAATTAACTGACAATATTGAGAAACAGTAAATCCTCATGTGGTTGGGTGAGGGATTGCTGTTTAAATCTGAAAATTGCAGCAATTTAATAGTTTAAATTATAATTGACACATTCTGAATATCTGCTACATGCAGTGGAAGACTTACTGCCTTCGTTAAGAGAAGCTGTTATGTTTAAGTTGTCAAAATTTAGTTAAATTAATTTCTTCTGAAGGCAATCATCAAATTTTACCCAAAAGAAACTTTATGGAATTCTCATGCATCATTAACTTCATATGAATATAAGCTAATATGAAGCAAAACATCCCTCAGGCTCTATGAAAATATATAACAACTCTCTAGCCTTCCACTGCAGGATTTGGCATCTGAAACTGTGCTTTTCCTATCACAGGAGCCAGATTTTCTTTACAGAGTGCTGATTTCATAAATATTTTTCTAACTTAGTGTACCAAACACACAGCCCTTAAACAAGAAAAGGCCCACAGTCTTGGAAAAACAGAACTACTTTATATGGATATTTGAAAATAAAAACTCATGGCTTTAGTTCCTCCTGTGTTTATGCTAGCATAATAAAATAGTCAATGCTCAGCCCCATCATCTGAAAAATGTCAACCCCAAATATATATTTATTGCTTATCTGAGATTATGAATACTTCCACAATGTAACAGTAACCTAAGTATGGTAGGGTTGGCAAGCAGCACCCAGCAATACAGTAGGTGGGATATCCAGGGAGATGACTGCATCTCATAGCACACCACCCTGAGTGGACTGGAGTCCTAAAGAACCATGGCTACAAGGTGCACTTTAGATCATGGATGTCCAATCTTTTGGCTTCCCTGGGCCACATTGGAAGAAATAATTACCTTAGCCCACAGGTAAAATACACTAACACTAATGATAGCTGATGAGCTATAATGTTTTAAGAAAGTTTACAAATTTGTGTTGGGCTGCATTCAAAGGAAACTTGCCTTGCACGTGGCCCATGGACCCTGGGTTGGACAAGCTTGCTTTAGATGATGTATTATGTGTGAATAAGGGAAGTAGAGTGGAGAAACCAGAGTTTGGGCTAGGGAATGGGATGAACACCCAAGAGACTCAGGATGATAAACATGTACAAAACGTTACAGAGGTTTTTGATATTTTGACAATCTCTATGTAGAGCCATAAACCATAAATGGACACCATCTCAGTGGCTCAGTGACATCAAAAGCATTTTGATAATGATGTCAAGATGTTACATGTCTTTATCTCTTTCATTCTCTTATGAGTATAGAGAGTGAAGTTTCCAGAGGGTATGTGAAGCAAGACATCAAATTCAGTAGCAAATATAAGACTTCATTGGGAGGCCAAGGTGGGAAGATCTCTGAAAGCCAGGAGTTCAAGGTCAGCCTGGGTAACATAGTGAGACTTTGTCTTGACAAAAAAATTTAAAAATTAGCTGGGCATAGCAGTGCATGCCTGACATTCCACTACTTTGGAGGCTGAAGTAGAAGGATAGTTTGAGCCCAGGAGTTTGAGGCAGCAGTCAGTTATGACTACGTCACTGCCCTCCAGCTTATCTCTTAAAAAAGAGAAGAATCTAATCAACCATTAAATATTTGAAAAAAATGTAAAATAGTGTCATTCTTCTCAATATTTTTTGTTTTCCTAAATAGAGTTATATTAAACAGAAATGTTTTTAAGTTAATGAGTAATATGTTTATTATTGTTATTTTAAGTGAAAAATAAATGATTCTCTTTTAAATTTCTAATATGGTGAATATTGATAGATATAACCCACATAAATAAAAGGTCTTTGGGTTGTTCAATAACTTTAAAGGCATAAAGGGATTCTGAGTCAAAAATAATTGAAAGTCATAAGTCCATGTTAATAGATTAAAATGGGGAAACAACATACTATCAAAAGATGCTGAACAGCCTTCTTATAAAATCAACATTTCTGTCAAAGAAACAGGAGTAATATTTAGCAATGAATATCACAGATTCATTCAAATTACAATCAGGTATACAAAGAAAGGTTTCTACCTGACTGATCAATGGGCAAATTTACACTTTTAAATCAGTAATATTTTGGTCTTTTCCAGTTCAACTATCCTTTTTCTGTTTAAATTGTCAACATATGTAGTATTCAAGGTTCAGATTCCTATTTGTTGCTGAATTTAAAAGTTTTTTGGGCTAGGCTTGGTGACTCACACCTGTAATCCCAGCAATTTGGGAGGCCTACGTGGCAGATCAGCTGAGGTTAGGAGTTAGAGACAAGCCTAGGCAACATGGCAAAACCCTGTCTCTACTAAAAATACAAAAAGTAGCTGGGCATAGTGGCAAGTGCCTGTAGTCCCAGCTACTCGGGAGGCTGAGGCACGAGAATTGCTTGAACCCAGGAGGCAAAGGTTGCAGTGAGTTTAGATGGTGCCACTGCACTCCAGCCTGGGGAGCAGAGTGGGACTCTGTCTCTAAATAAATAAATAAATAAATAAATATATAGTCTTTTTGGTGATTCTGTTACCTGAGTTAAATGCTTTCAAAATGCCACTTCTCCAAAGAGCACCTGGTGTATGAGGATGTTCACTCTATCATTGTGGAAGCAGAGAAGATTTCTGATTGGATTCCCTTAGTATCTTACAAATTCTCACCCTTTGCTCCAGATTCCATTTGGCCATTTTCTGGGCTGGGGACTCTCAAGTGCGACTGATTCCACTGGGAATTTTGAGATTTATGTTAGCATACGGCATGTGAGTGCATGCCCTGGCCACTGTCATACTATTTCTGCATCCTCTTCTCTCTGACTAGGCCTCTGGGCACCCAAAGGTCATCTCAGAAAGTGCATATTTTCTCACTGGTGTAAGCAGAAACGCCTATATCCATTCACACTGTAGGTAGGCCATGTGCACCTAGGTGCTGGGCTTTAGAATCTGACGAAGCCTCATCTCATCTCACTCTATTTCTGTACCATAATCAATGTTGTACTGGGTCAAAGACTTGAGAACCAGTGCACTGGATCCAATATCTCCAACACTTCTTTAGATGTTTTTAAAGCAATGCTTCATTATCAATGATCCATTTCGAAGAGTAGTTAGAGGAAATGGAAACTCGCCATATTAATCATTGTTTTCTGCTGTCATCTCCCTTCTAAACTCACCATTGCTTAGCTATAGAGGGACAAAGCTCACGCCCCATTCAGTTTTACTGTGACACTTCTCCACTCCCTCCTCTTCCTTTTATATTCCATTTCCCTTGATAAGCTCTCATACTAATAAGAGAAGAAAAACTGAGGTGGAAACTAAAAAGAACAATGAAATTAAAAAGAGAAAAAGAAGTATGAAAAACAAATTTTCCTTTATTTTATGATATGAGTTTATAGATTCCTGTTTTCTGCAACCAGTAACTTCAAGTATTCCATTTTTTGTGAGCAGCACAGCAAAGGTCATGAGACACCTGAGCAGGCCTGGATTGCAGCCATCCAAGCACCTTAGTGAAGGTTATAAGTCCGTGCAAGGCACTAGAGCAGGCCTAGATAACAGCCATCTGGGCCGCATAGCAAGAGTCCTATGTAATCCTGAGTTATGAACCTGTCACAGTTTAATTAACTGCCTTTGTTCTGCCTTTGTATCCTGGCTTTCACATCACTAAGCTTCATGCCACTGTAAGCTTGTTTCAAGCTAGCCCACCCCCTTTTAGAAGTGTGTGTAAAAGTCAAGTGCTGTCTTTGTTCTGGATCCAGTCTTTGGATGTTAATATGCTGCGTCTGTGTGCACTCAATAAAAATCCTCCTGTTCCACCTATTGGTCTCCCCAGTCTCATGAGTCCCACAACAAAATCAGAACTCATTTTAAGAACTAGATATACCTATACTATTATTATATAATATGAGAAAAGATATCTTCAAATTCTATAGCAAACATTATAATAAATAGTAAAACATTACAAACATTTACAGTAAAATCAAGAACAAAACATGGATTCTCAAAATCCCCTACTATTCAATATTTTCCTGCAGTTTCTACACAACACTTTAGGACATAGAAATGAACAACATATAAACATCACAATGGAAGAGCGAATTTTTGTGTCCATTCATCAGCCAATGGACACTTAGGCTGTCTCCATGTCTTGGCTATTATGAATAACATTCCTGTGATCATGGGGGTGCAGATACCCCTTTGAGGCACTGCTTTCATTTCCTTTGAGTATATACCCAAGAAAGGCATTTCCAGATCATAAAATAATTATAGAATTATATTTTAATATTTTGAGGTACCTCCTTATTGTTTTTCATAATGGCTGTACGAATTTACATTTCTTCCAACAGGGCACAAGGGTTCCCCTTTCTCTACATTCTCGCCAACCCTTGTTATCTGATGACTTCCTGATAATAGCCATTCTATTGGTTTGAGGTGATCCACTTGCATGTGGAATCTACAAAAAAAAAGTTCAACACATAGAAACAGAGAGTAGAATGGTGGGTACCAGGGACAAGAAAGGGAAGGAAACGGGGAGAAGTAAGTCAAAGAGTACAAACTTGTAGTTAAATTGGATAAAGAAGTCTAGCAATCTAATGTACAACAGTGCTAAGGTTTGGCTCTGGGTCCCCACTCAAATTGTGGCTTTGTGTCCCCTCCCAAATCCCATGTTGAGTTGTAATTCCCAGTGTTGGGGGAGGGACCTGGTGGGAGATGATTGGATATTGAGGGCAGATTTCCCCCTTGCTGTTCTCACGATACTGAGTGAGTTCTCATCACATCTGCCTGTTTAAAACTGTGTAGTACTTCCTCCTTTGCTCTGTCTCTCTCTTGCTCTGGCCACGTGAAGACCACTACTGCTTCCCCTCCACCTTCAGCCATGACTGTAAGTTTCCTGAGGTCTCACAGCCACATGGAACTGTGAGTCAATTAAGTCTCTTTTCTTCATAAATTACCCAGTCTCAGGTAGTTTTTTTATACCAGTGTGAGAATAGACTAATACAAAAAATTGTACTGGGAGTGGGGCATTGCTATAAAGACACCTGAAAATGTGAAAGCAACTTTGGAAGTTGGTAATGGGCAGGAGTTGGAACAGTTTGGAGGGATCAGAAGAAGATAGGAAGATGAGGGAAAGTTTGAGACTTCCTAGAGACTTCTTGGATGGTTGTGACAACAATGCTGATAGCGATATGGACATTGAAGTCCAGGCTGAGGTGGTCTCAGATGGAGATGAAGAACTTATTGGGAGCTTGAATAAATGTCACTCTTGCGATTTGGTAGCAAAGAGACTGGGACATTGTGCCCCTGCTCTGGCGATCTGTGGAATTGTGTATTTGAGAACTGATTTAGGGTATCTGGTGTAAGAAATTGCTAAACAGCAAGGTATTTAAGATGTAGTCTGGCTGCTTTTAAAAGCCTATACTCAATTTGCACAAACAAATCAATTGCATAAACAAAGAGATTATCTGAAACAGGAACTTATATTTAAAAGACAGGCAGAACATAAAAGTTTGAGAAATTTGCAGCCCAATCATGTGGTAGAAAAGAAAAACCCATTTTCTGAGGAGGAATTCCAGGCTGCAGAAATTTGCATGAGTAAAGAAGAACTGAATGTTAATACCCAAGACAATGGGGAAAATGCCTCCAGGGCATTTTAGAGACCTTCACAGCAGCCCCTCCCATCACAGACCCAAAGGCCTAGGAGGGAAAAATGTTTTTGTGAGCCAGGCCCAGGGCTGCTGTTTGTTTGGCGCAGCCTCAGTACATGGTGCCCTGCATCCCAGCTGCTCTAGCTTCAGCCATGGCTAAAATGGGCCAAGGTATAGCTCTGGCTGTTGCTTCAGAGGGTGCAAGCCCCAATCCTCGGCAGCTTCCACGTGGTGTTGGACCTGCCAGTGCACAGAAGGCAAGACTTGAGGTTTAGAAACCTCTGCCTCAATTTCAGAGAATGTAGAGAAATGCCTGAATGTCCAGGCAGAAGTCAGCTGCAGGGGCAGAGCCCTTATGGAGAACCTCTACTAGGGCAGTGCGGAGGGGAAATGTGGGGTTGGAGCCCCCACACAGAGTCCCCAATGGGTTACTGCCTAGTGGAGCTGTGAGAAGAGGGCCACCATCTTCTAGATGCCAGCATGGTAGATCCACCAACAGCTTGTGTTGTGTGCCTGGAAAAGACACAGGCACTCAATGCCAGCCCCTGAAAGCAGCTGTGGTGGTGGGGCTTTACCCTGCAGGGCCACAGGGGCAGAGTTGTTTCCAAGGCCTAGGGAGCCCACCTCTTGCATCAGGGTGGCTTGGTTGTGAAACATGGAATCAAAGGAAATTACTTTGGAACTTTAAGATTTAATTATTGCCCTGCTGAGTTTCAGACTTGCATGGGGTCTGTAAGCCCTTTTGTTTTCTCCAATTTCTCCCTTGTGGAATGGGAGAATTACCCAAATGCCTGTAACCCCATTGTGTCTAGGATGTAACTGATATGTTTTTGATTTTATAGGCTCATAGGCAGAAGGGACTTGCCTTGTCTCAGATGAGACTTTGGACTTGGACTTTTGAGTTAACATTGGAATGAATTAAGACTTTGGGGAGCTGTTGGGAAGGCATGACTGTGTTTTGAAATGTGAAAAGGACATAAAATTTGGGAGAGGCTGGGGGCAGAGTGATATGGTTTGGCTCTGTGCCCCCACTCAAATCTCATGTCTAATTGTAATTCCCAATATTGAGTGAGGAACATGGTGGGAGATGATTGGATCATGACAGTGGATCTTCCTCTTGCTATACTCGTGATAGTCATTGAGTTCTCATGAGATCCGGTTGTTTAAAAGTGTGTAGCCACTGGGCATGGAGGCTCACGCCTGTAATCCCAGCACTTTGGGAGGCTGAGACAGGCAGATCACAAGTTCAGGAGATCGAGACCATCCTGGCCAACATGGTAAAACTCTGTCTCTACTAAAATACAAAAAATTAGCCAGGTGTGCTGGCACGTGCCTGTAGTCCCAGTTACTCAGGAAGCTGTGGCAGGGGAATCGCTTGAACCTGGGAGGCAGAGGTTACAGTGAGCCAAGATTGCACCACTACACTCCAGCCTGGCGACAGAGCAAGACTCAGCCTCAAAAACAAAACAAAACAAAACCGTTGCTTTTCCCTCCTTTGCTCTCTCTCTCTCTCTCTCTCCTGCTCTGGTCATGTGAAGACTGTGTCTGCTTACCTTTCACTTTCTGCCATGATCATAACTTTCCTGAGGCCTCCCAGCCATGTGGAACTGAGAGTAAATTAAACCCCTTTTCTTCATAAATTACCCAATCTCAGGTAGTTCTTTACAGCAATGTGAGAATGGACCAATGCAAACAGTAAGACTATAGTTAATAATATTGTATTGTATGTTCAAAGTTTGCAAAGAGAGCAGATTTTAAGTGCTGTTACCACACATAAAAAATGCTAACTATGGAAGATAATGGATATGCTAAATTGCTGACCTGTAGTAATAATTTCACTATAGATATGAATATCAATACCTCATGTGTATACTTTAAATTTTAAAAACAATGGAATAGACATAAACATCTTTATTGAATAATTATCTTCATGCTAATGTATTACTTCAGGTTTGAATGAACCAAGAGAATGATCTGATATTTTGGTAGATTTGTAAGAATTTTCAGTAAGGTGGTCTGCTATAACATAAATATACAAAATCAATTGCTTCAGATGGCTTTACAAAGCAAGTCAATTAAAATAAAGCTCTCAATAGCAATTAAACATCAGTGATACAAATAAGAACTTTTCTGTTCCCCTTTTTATGTCTCCCTTCACTCTCATTTCTCAGAAACTGTAGTTAAGCAACTATAGAGAAAAAAAATAATAAAAAAAAAGTAATGAAAGAAGATGCCAGAAGCAGAAGCGAAGGCCTTCTCTGATCAAATAATCCCTTTCTGCAGTAGTGTGAGCTGAGGAGAGTAGATATATTTAAAATCACTTTCAAAGCTTTCATTATTATAATGAAGCCATACTCAACTTTTGAAATGAGATGAAGTTTTCATGTATAATGTGAGAACATGACATGGGATTGGAAAAATCCTGAAACCACCCGAGTTTTCATTCAGGGCAGTGAAGAAAATTTCTACTGAGTATATTTTAAAGCAACACGGAGGAAAAAAAGTTGTTTTGTGATCTAATTTATGAGTGATGCTAGTATCACCTAATGGTTGTATTAATTTATGAAATTAGAACTCTCTCAATGTCTGATTTTATAAAGTCATAAAATAATTTATACAGTACATATTATATATAAGTAGGAGTCATCCCTGTAATCCCAGCACTTTGGGAGGCCGAGGCGGGCGGATCATGAGGTCAGGAGATCGAGACCATCCTGGCTAACACAGTGAAATCCCATCTCTACTAAAAATACAAAACATTAGTCGAGTGTGGTGGTGGGCGCCTGTAGTCCCAACTACTCGGGAGACTGAGGCAGGAGAATGGTGTGAACCCGGGAGGCAGAGCTTGCAGTGAGCTGAGATCACGCCACTGCACTCCAGCCTGGGTGACAGAGTGAGACTCCATCTCAAAATAAATAAATAAATAAATAAATAAATAAGTAGGAGTCATCAAATTATGGATATTTACTCTTTTGCATGTTAGAAAAATTTATGTGATTTTTAAATAGTGTAGAACTCATATCAAAATATACATATGTGTAGTGTATTAACTAGACAGAGTTCCAAACACTTTTAGAATATACTACAGGTTATTTCAAAAGATGAAAAATTAGTTGTAGCAAAAAGCCATAAACTTTCATATATTTAAATACTTTACACTATTCTTTATACTACCTGGAAAATCTTGTCTCCTAACACTGAGCCAAGTTACCACAGACCCTGTCAAGGTCTCTTCCCAATCCCCGTAATAGAATTCATTGCTCCTTCTTTTTGAGCTCTTCTTGCTTCTTTTAAATAATGTCTGCACTTTGGAATAGCACAGTGGATTCAGTTGTTTGTCTTGTTAGATTAAGCTCCTTGAGAACAGGACTGATTTTATCTTTATTTTTGTATTCTTAGTGCTCCATTTATGCTCGATACCTTTTAGCAGAATGATGTATAATAATTCTGTTGAAAAAATTAATATATAAATCAGAGTTCTTACAGTGATGAAAATATTTTATTACTATTGTGTATGTTAAGTTTGTGCAAATTTACTGAGTTACTTTTTGCTATTTTTTGCATTGTTTAGCATTGCTTGTTTTATTAAATGGACATTGTATTCATGGCCTTTGTTTAAAAATCATCAATGATTGCTTTGGCTTCTACCTTCAAAGAGTTAAATCTGTATAAACTAGTCAAACCATTATAAAATGAATGTTAAAATCATGAACCATTTGAGTGACTTATGGCTATTACATATATTATAAATATAATGTAACTATACTTTCTGAGACTGAATAATAAAAAATTTTAAATGATTGCTGATCGTGGTATGAAAAATGAGAACAGACTTACTTTGAAAAAGTAAAACAACCATAAATCTGTTTAATGGTTGATAATATAGCCAATATTTTAAATGATAGTGGTTTAATATATGCAAACTGAATTTGATTTTATAAAAAAAATATAAATCACTAGAAAAGAAATTCATATTTCAAAGGGAGAGTAAAGCACATTCCAGTCATGTGCAGATAACGATGCTTCGGCCAACAATGGACTCTGCCTATGTAACAATGGGCCAATAAGATCACAAAGGCAGCTACAAATTTCCCATCACCTAGTGCCATCATAGCCATCCTAGTGTCATAGCACAACGCATTACTCACGTGTTTGTGGTGGTGCTGGTGTAAACAAACCCACTGTGCTCCCAGCCCTTCTCATTTACTCACCACTCACCCACCAACTCACACAGAGCAACTTTCAGTCCTGCAAACTCTATTCACGGTAAGTGCCCTTACAGATGCACCATTTTAAAATCTTTTCTACCACATTTTTACCCTACCTTTTCTATGTTTAGATACACAAATACTTAACTTTGTATTATAATTGTCTTCAGTATCCAGTACATTAACATGCTGTACAGTTTTATAGCCTAGGAGCAATAGGCTGTATACCATATAGCCTAGGTGGGCTATAACATCTAGGTTTGTGTAAGTACACTCTGATGTTCACACAAAGATGTAATTGCCTACGGATATATTTGTCAGAATGTAAGTATCTCAACTGTTAATTTATGCATGATCATAATCATGATATAGCCACCTAGGCTATATGGTACACAGTCTATTGCTCCTAGGCTATAAACCTGTACAGCGTGTTACAAGGCAGAAGAAAACTAATATATATATATATATAAAATTGTGTATATATATATATAATTGTGTATATATATACAAAATTGTGTATATATATATATAATTGTGTATATATATACAAAATTGTGTATATATATATATACACACACAATATGTATATATGTATATACACTGTAAAATATACAAGGCAGAAGAAAACCAAAAAACGTGATCTAAAGGGCACTGTAAGAGTCCTTTAACTTCGTAGTACATCATGTAATGATCTATATACTGTCTGTATGGTAATCACCCATATTGCCACCACTTAGCTTTATGTAAAAACTATCAATGGTGTATTTACTCTATTTTTGCCTTTGTAAATATATATAGCTCCTCTTCTTGGAAAATGAAATTGGCAAGGCATATATGCTGTATTATATCTACAATCTCACTTCTTATTTCCTTCCTTTCATCCTTCTTTCTTCCTATTATGAAGTGAATTGTGTCCCCCCAAATTGCTACTTTGAAGCCGTAATCTCCAAAGTGACTGTATTTGTAGGTAGGGCCTTCAGGAAGGCAGTTAAGGATAAACGAGGTCATAAGAGTGAGCCCCCTAATCTGATAGGATTGGTGTTTTTATAAGAAGAGGAAGAGACACCAGAGAAAAAAGAACCCTCACCAGAAACCAACCCCAAGGGCACTGTGATCTGGGATTTCTGGCCTCCAACACTGTGAGAAAATAAATTTCTGTCATTTAAACCACCCAATCTGGTATCTTCTTATGACAAACTAATTATCTTCTTTAATTCCTTCCTTCCTACCTTCCTTCCTTCCTTCTTTGTATCCACCCAGTTGTTTCTTTTTTTTTTTTTTAACCTCTCTCTGTTTCTAAATGGAATCTTTTCTCTCCTCTGTGGTTAATAATTCACAACTGCAATGCACATCTCAAGCCCAGAGTTGGGTCTTGATTGATGTAAGTCAATCATAATGTTTCTGTTCCCCTTACCAATCATTGGTTTAACCTATATCATGTGATACAATTTTGCCAAATGAGACTAACAGAAACTTCTGAGGGGCTTCTAGCAAATGTGCCTCTGCTCTCATTGATTGAGAGGGAGCCCCTTTTAAAACTCAGAATATTGTATGGTCTAGATATTACTATATTTGACACAGATGGACCAGTCTCAGACAATCCTATACAAGATAGAAAAACAGAAAGATTTTGCAATCTGGGTCCCTGAAGCCTTTATTGAATCATAATATCTTATTTCTAACTGCAATAGTAAATTACTATAGACTATGTGGTTTCATCAGAAATCATTTATTTCTCAGAATTCTGGAGGCTGGGAAGTCCAAGACTGAGGCATCAGCAGATCAAGCCTCAGGTGCGAGTACTCCTCCTGGTTTTCAGGCAACTTTCTTCTCCTTATAGCCTGACATGGCAGAGAGAGAGAGAGAGTGAGAGAGAGAGAGCTCCCCTGTCTTTTCCAATAAGACCAGTAATCCTATCATGAGGGCTTCACTCCCAGGACCTAATTACCCCTCAAAGGCTTCATCTTACACTGGGGATTACAGTTTCAACTTATTAATCTGGTGGGAGAAGGGCATAAAAATTCAGTCTATAGCAATGCATTCAACATGCTCTGAAAGTTCTCTAGACCTGAACTTCTTACCAAGACGTTAATTTTCCTTGTTCAGACAAATTCGAGTTTGACTTTTTAGCATAGAACTGAAAGCATCCTACGGGATACAAAATAATTCTATGGTAACATCATAGATGATAACAAAATGTAAGTTGATGCAATAATTCTCTGAGTTTATTGTGTTTTGTTGTATTCTTCTTCACTAAGACTCCCTTGAAATACACAGTGCATTAAGAATGCTTTTTCTTAGTATTTTTTGCATTTTCTTGGTAAAATTAACAATTTACATTTCTAATATTTTCTTAAAGGTGAGATATAGTATATATTTCATACCTAAAATGTACACAGAACAGAATTTGTACAACTCAGTTATTGAAAAAGCAGACAATTATGTAAATACAACTTGAATCAAATAAAAAAAAATTGCCAGAACCCCAGAAGCCTCTTCCATAGCCCAATCACAACCCTGACTTCTAAAAGCATGGGTTATCTTTGCCTGTTTTGTAACATGTAAGAAAGAGGATCATAAAGGATATTTTATTTTTGTTAGACTATTTTCTTTATAAATATGTTTTTGAGATCCATGCATGTTTTGCAATTAACTGCTGATTATTCATTTTTATTACTGTATAGAATTCTCATATGAATATATCCCAATTTATTTATCAATTTCAACACGGATAGAAATTTATCAAAAGATATTTAAGATGTGAAAATGCAAGCCACAGGTCAGTGGAGGTATTTACAATATGGCTATTCCTCGGTATCTAAGTAAGATTGGTTCCAGTACCCCATATAGATGCCAAAATCCACTGATGCTTGAGTCCCTTAAATAAAATGGTGTAGTATTTGCAAATAAGCGATGAACATGCTCCCATATACTTTAAATCATCTTTGGGTTACTTATAATACTTATTGCAATGTAAAGGCTATGTAAATAGTTGTTATAGTACATTGTTTTTTATTTGTAACAAAGGATATTCAAATCTCCAATAAAAACAGGTAAGATTATCTTTCCTTTTAGTAATCATAAAAATTCACATTAAAGCATAATTAAATTCTACTATATATCCCACAGAATAGAAAAACAAAACAAAACAAAAAAATGAACAAAACCAACAAACAACAAGCAAATGACAATATCAAATATTAGCAAAAAAGTAGAGCAATAGAAACTCTCAGTTTCTGCAGATGGGATTGGGAATTACTAAAATATTTTGGAAAACGTTTTCCTTAATATTTAAACTTGAGCATATACATTCCCTATGACCTGAAAATTTTACTCACTAGTGTATTCCCACCCAGAAGAGTTGACCATTTGTTCCAAGGAACGTGTACATGAATGTTTACAGTAGATAATCCGATTAGTCAAAAAAAAGGGGAAGTATTTTTTAAATCATCTGAATATATGCTTTAAAATTATTCAATTCTTTCTTCCTTATTGATGCAATTGAATCAATTGCATAATAATTTATAAAAGACAAAGAGCACTAAAGGAAGGAGGAAGAAAGGAAATAAGAGTTAAATGTTCAACCTAGTCAGCTGAGCCAGAAATACTCATAGGACATCTATACACTCAAAATTTATGGACACTAAGCCCAGGTGTATCAATTATGGAAGTCATTACTATGCGTTGTGAGTCAACTCTCCCATTCTCCACGACCATTTTTTATACCTAATACTCTCAAGTCTAATGTGTAGATATGGAAGTGTACTGCTCACATCTTGCTTCAGGAAAGACCCACCATAAGGAATGCAGTTGGATTAGTGACTCTAGCTGTGACAACTTTGAATTCCTCATAGCATTCACAAACAGGCTATATTCTCCTTCCTGGGTCATTCTCACGTGTTGATTGAACATGGTAGAGGAAATAGAACTCTATTTCTGAAGGACCCCTCAAATGCACACTATGCCCTGTGACTCCCCTTCATCCTGGTTGAGATTGCCTCAGAGCTGCACTTCAGTATAAGCTTCCATCTACTCAGTCTTCTTTCCTTTTTTAGCAAAAATCTTCTTTACTGATTGGCAGACCTGCATTGGGTCTAAAGCTCTCCCTGCTAACTCCTGTTCTTTCTGCCCTTTGTCCCTCACAGAATCTTCCCTAAATAAATCATTTACACATCCAATTCCATCTTGGTGCCTGCTTCCGAGAGAACTGGAACCAGCATGCCTAGTAACCTATAGCCTCTCCAAAAGCCCTCAGGAATGGTATCTCACAGTCCTATGTTACAGAGTCAATAATCTGTAGAAATTCCTCAACTTTTCCCCAAGAGATTCTAAAAACAAACCTACACTGTATCAATTAATATTTTTCCAGATTGTCAAAAAGAGTTGTTCAGCTTTAGATTAAAGGTGACTGCAAATTATTTGCCACATTTTCCAATGAAAGGTGGGATCCAATTTTCCTGCCTTTGAAATTGAGCTGAAACTTCTGGGGCCAGATCACATAAAACATTGCAGATTTCAAGCACATCTATTAAAACACTCTGTGGGAGGCCTGAGCTACAGTTTAAGAAGTTAGAGTACTCCAAGATCTGGGGAGAAGTTCCATGCTTGTCCTCCCAGTCCATAGTCTCAACAGAGCCCAGTCTTAGAGCCATTTTTCACCAAGGCACAAGACATATAAATGAAGTAATCCCCCACCTACCATTACAATTTCAGTCAATGACACATCTCACTCAGCTGATTTCTACCTCAATTCCTGACCCTCAAATGTTAAGCAGTAATAAGATAGAACAAAATGTTATTGTGGTTAAGTTGCTGAGTTTCATAATAATTTGTTCTACAGCAATAGATAATCTGAGCACCCTGCTCTTGTCTATGGGTCATACATTAACCCACGGGCTCTGTTACTATCCTTATTGTTTTAGGAGGATATAGTGTTAATGTTTCCTTTTTCTCTAATTATCCAATTTTATACTGTTTGGCACCATTTTAACATGCTTAATTCTTAAAAACACAGACCCTGTGGATCAGGCTTGTTGGACTAAAAAACAGACACCACAATTTTAGTGGTTTAGTCACATAGAAGTTAACATTTTGCTGATGTGAGCTCCCTGGGAGGGTGTTGAGATTGTCAGGGGCGCTTCACTACATGAGCATTCAGAGACTCATGCTGATTTCATCTGTGTCTTTTCCATCCCCTGGGACCTCATTATAGTCTGCATCTATCAGACAGAAAAGGAAAGAGTACAGAAAGGGGGCATAAGAAATTTTATATACTAGGCACAAAAGTGGAACATCTCAAATCATCTTATAGTCCGCTGGCTAAAACAGAGTCAAATGGCCACTGTAACTGTAAGGGAGCCTAAAGTATAGCTTACTTGCACAGCCAAGAATAGGAGAAAAGGATTCTATATCTACCACCAGATCAGACTAGTTATTTTGTTGAAATACTCCAAATAACTGTAGAACATGGGCATTTCAGAACTCTCACATAGCAAATTAGTAAACAATTTTATGAATCCCCACTATTGGATAACTCCATGGAGGAGTGTTCTTATGTTTTCTTCTTCATTCCCGACCCCCCTCCCCGTTCTCCTTCATCCTCTAGGTATCTCTGAAATGTCTTTTTTCTTTTTTTCTTTCTTTTTTTTTGAGACAGAGTCTCGCTCTGACACCCAGGCTGGAGTGCAGTGGTGTGATCTCGGCTCACTGCAAGCTCCACCTCCCAGGTTCACGCCATTCTCCTGCCTCAGCCTCCTGAGTAGCTGGGACTACAGGCACCCACCACCACGCCCGGCTAATTTTTTTTTTTTTTTTTTTTTTGTATTTTTAGTAGAGACAGGGTTTCACCATGTTAGCCAGAATGGTCTCGATCTCCTGACCCTGTGATCCTTCCGCCTCGGCCTCCCAAAGTGCTGGGATTACAGGCGTGAGCCACTGTGACCGGCCGGATATTTCTTATAGTACCTAGATCATTGTACATAGTCAATATACATTTAATAAAACCAATATTTAATTAATTAGGATTACTTTTCAAAAATAATAGTAGAATTTCTTAGCTTCTTTGCATTGAGTTAGAACACGCTCCTTTAGCTCAGCAGAGTTTGTTAGTACCAACCTTCTGAAGCCTACTTCTGTCAATTTATAGTTAGCTCCTTTTGTTGAATTAATCCCTTTACCATTATGTAATGGCCTTGTCTTTTTTGACCCTTGTTGGTTTAAAGTGTGTTTTGTCAGAGACTAGGATTGCAACCCCTGCTTTTTTTTTTTTTTTTTTTTTTTGCTTTCCATTTGCTTGGTAAATTTTCCTCCATCTCATTATTTTGAGCCTCTTTGTGTCCTTGCATGTGAGATGGGTCTCCTGAATACAGCACATCGATGGGTCTTGAATCTTTATACAATTTGCCAGTCTGTGTCTTTTAACTGGGGCATTTAGTCCATTCACATTTAAGATTATTATTGTTATGTGTGAATTTGATCCTGTCATCATGATACTATCCATTTATTTTGCACAAATTCTGGGTTGAGAATTCTTTTCTGTAAGAATGTTGAATATTGGCCCCCACTCTCTTTTTGCTTGTAGGTTTTCTGCTGAGAGGTCTGCTGTTAGTCTGATGGGCTTCCCTTTGTAGGTATCCTGGTCTTTCTCTCTGGCTGCATTTAACATTTATTTCTTCATTTTGACCTTGGAAAATCTGACAATTATGTGTCTTGGGGTTGATCTTCTCATGGACTATCTTACTGGTGTTCTCTGTATTTCCTGAATTTGAATGTTGGCCTGTCTTGCTAAGTTGCGGAATTTTTCCTGGATAATATCTTGAAGTGTGTTTTCCAGCTTGGTTCCATTCTCTCTGTCTTTTTCAGGTACTCCAATCAATCATAGGTTCAGTCTTTTTACATAGTCCCATATTTTTCAGATGTTTTGTTCATTCCTTTTCATTCTTTTTTTCTGTAATCTTATCAGCATGCCTTTTTTTCAGCAAGAGGATCTTCAAAATCTGACATCCTTTCTTCTGCTTGGTTGATTCACCTATTGATACTTGTGTATGCTTAACGAAGTTCACGTGCTATGTTTTTCAGCTCCGTTCGGTCATTTATGTTCCTCTCCAGCCTGGTTATTCTAGTTAGCCGCGCCTGTAACCTTTTATCAGGATTCTTAGCTTCTTTGCATTGGGTTAGAACATGCTCCTTTAGCTCAGCAGAGTTTGTTATTACCAACTTTCTGAAGCCTACTTCTGCCAATTCATCCATCTCATCCTCTGTCCAGTGCTGCATCCTTGCCGGAGAGGCATTGCAATCATTTGGAAGAGTAGAGGCACTCTGGCTTTTTGGGTTTTCAGCATTTTTTTGTTGATTCTTTCTCATCTTCATGAATTTCTCTAGCATCGATCTTTGAGACTGCTGACCCTTGGATGGGGTTTTTGTGGGGACTTTTTTCGTTGATGCTGTTGTTGCTTTCTGTTTATTTTTCTTTCAATGCTCAGGACCCTCTGTTGTAGGGCTGCTGTGGTTTGCTGGGGGGTTCACTTCAGGCCCTATTCATCTGGTTTGCTCCAGCACCTGGAGAGATCACTCCAGGAGTCTGGAGAACAGCAAAGATGGGTGCCTGCTTCTTCCTCTGGGTTCTCTGACCTCAAGAGGCACCGACCTGATGCCAGTAGAAATGCTCCTGTATGGAGTGTCTGAAAACCCCTGTTGGAGGGTCTCACCCAGTTGGGTGGCACAGGGAGCAGGACCCATTTAATAAAGTACTTTGACTGTCCCTTGGTGGAGGGGGTGTGCTTCACTGGGGGGAAACCCCCTTGTCTGGGCTGCCTGGATTTCTCAGAATCAGCAGGAGGAAACACTTACCCTGCTGGTCTGCTGAGACTGCAACCACTCCTCCCCCAGGGGCTCAGGCCCAGGGAGATCAAAGTTCTGTCTCTGAGCCCCTGGCTGGAGTTGTTGAAGTTCCTGCAAGGCCCCACCCAGTGAGGACAGATGGGTTAAGGTCAGGCCTGAAGAGGCACTCTGTCCACAGTCTGCCTCAGCTGGTGTGTTGGGCTGTGGGGGATACCTCTGGGACCAGGCCATCCAGCTTCCTACTCCAGCAGAGGAAAAGTGTGGCCTGGAGCTATAGAGATGGCTGCTGCCCTTCCACTACCCTGGGAGCTTAGTGTGTTAGGAGACTGTCAGTCCCAGTGTTGGCTGTTTTCCCTCCCTCAAGGAGATCAAATGGCTTAGACAGCAGGTAGCCGCAGCTGTGGTGCTGGTCGGGGCAGGCTCAAGCAGATTCTAGCTTAGTGGCTGTTGAGAATTGGCGTGGCTCTGTGGTTGGGACTCTCAGTCCCCGTGTCGTGGGTTCATGAGTGGGATCTTTCAATCTGCAGGTTGCACAGTTCTGTGGAAAAAGCACGTTTTCCCAGGCTGGGTCGCACACTCGCTCAATGCCTCCCTTGGCTTGGGGGTGGAGGCTCCCCTGTGCCATGTGGCTCTCAGGTGGTCTGCCATACCACACTGCTCTTCCTTCCACTCCGTGGGGCATGCCAGCTGCCTAGTCAGTTGTGATGACAGAACCCGGATGCCCTGTTTGCCAGTGCAGGATTCGCACACGTTATGGTTCTTTTCCATGGAGCCTCTGATCACGCTGCTTCTAGTTGGCCATCTTGGCCCCACCCCCGGTATTCTCATATTAGAAGAGCGCTTAATATAGTTCGTAGCACAAGGAGAAAATCATGTTAATCTTCACAGATACTACAAAAGCACTTGTTAAAATTTAACAATAAATCTTGATTTAAAAATGTCTTCAATAAAATAAGAATAAGATTTTTTTTATATATGACAAAACTGGCCCATCTATATCTCAGTGTGTATGCATATGTTTGCTCCAAAACCTGGCATCATGCTTAGCGGGAAAAAGACTAGAAATAGTCCTTCTAAAGTTCTGTTAAACTCAGGAACAAAACCAATGTGCCCTCTAATGTGTTATAAAAGATACTAGCCAATTATATTACAGTGTAATTATACAAGAGAAAGGAATAATCAATATCAAAATACGAATAGTGAAGACAAAAAAATCTTCTATTTACAGATGATAATATTGGGGGTTTTCTCGTTTGTTTTTTAGAGGGGTTCTTGCTATGTTGCCCAGGGTGGTCTCAAACTCCTTAGCTCAAATGATCCTCCTGCCTCAGCTTTCCCAGCAGCTGGGTGCACCTACCCTGCACGGCTCAGAGGAGTATATTTTTTAAATGAAAAAATATAAAATGATCAACTCAACAACTTCTATAAAACAAGAGGATTCAGTAAGTACACTGATGGAAAAATCAGTGTGCAGAAATTGATATCTTTCATATATACAAATAACAACCAGTGAGAAGATGTAATGGGAAAGATTTAAAATCACTTTAAATAACATCAACAAGAAATTCCTAGGGATAAAATTTAAGGATCTGATATCAAACTGCTACAGAAAAAAATACTACAGCACCCTTAAAGGACACAGAATAAGACTTGAACAAATGGAAAGGCATCTTTTGTTTGAATAGGTAGATTCAAAATAATAAAGTTAATTCTTAAATTACTTTATAATTTAATGTGGTCTCCATAATACTTTGAGACCTTTTATTCTGGAATTACACAAAGTTATTATTCTAAAATACAGAAGAATATCTAGGAGAACTCAATATTAAAGCATATTCTAAAAGCCATGTAAATTAAAACAATGATGTACTGGTAAATGAATACACAACCTTCTAATTTTGCAAAGTAGAAAGTTCTTAAATAGATCTACATGTATTTGTGAATTTAGAATGTAAAGACATCATCTTACATTTGCAAGATAAAGATAAGCTTTTTAGTAAATGCCATGGTAAACAAATAAATATAAATGGCTCATAAATACATATGAACCTCAGTCATAATAAGAGAAATGCAAATTAATGCTAAATCAAAATATTTCTCACCTTCCAAAATTGATAAAACATCAAAAGTGTGACAACAACACACTTTGTTGGTGAGACTTTAACAATGATCAAAATTCCAAAGAAAAATATCTCCCTTTGACAAAATGCTTTTATGTTTCTGAGTATCTATACCCATATCTATATCGGTACACTTATAAAATGTCCCCACTTATAAAATGTCCACAATTGTTCATTTAACTCTTTTCTTTTGCAGTAACAAAAAACTGCAAGTAATTCTAGCTTTCCTCTATAGGAGATTGATTAAATAAACTGTGAAATGCCCGCAAAATATAGTACTGTATAATTACTTAAAATAAATACTTCGGAGGGTCTCTAAGTGCTGATATGAATCATTTTAAGTGAAAAGCAAGATGCTGGCCTGTGGAATTATCAAAATTCACATCTACATCTATATGTATTGATATATGTATACAGGAAACCTTTATATGTGCAATAAAAAATAAGACTACAAACTCATATATACTTTTATTTCTAGACAATAATATACAAGAAATTTCTCTAAGAGGAGAGAAAGGAGAGAGATCATGGCAGATGGGACAGAGGTAGGAACAAGATTTTACACTCTATATATTTTGTATAATTTTGATCTATGTACATATAATCAGCTCATATGCGAACCTACATCTGGCTCTTCTTTTAGACAGTTGTTTATTATGTATGTTTGTATGTCTCAATTTTTCTAGCAAACTAGGGGGGCTAGTTTGGTGAGTGGTAGAATTTCAAATGACTGTTGAGAAAGGGACATTATTGTAGTCTTGCTAAAAAGGTGACTTTGAAGTAATAAAACATTTCCTCTTTTGCTATCTTTTAAAATCTTTGTTCACCAAACATCTTTAAATTCTTTAACAAATTGATTTCATATTCAGAGATTAGGTCATTATAAAACAAAATACAAACCAAAAAAACCCTCACATAATGATAAGAAAAACAAAATTTAATATTATGACTTCTTTGGTGAATTATTAGTTTAAAGAGTATATTAAATATATCTGGCAGTAAAAAGCATGCAACTTTGCCAACTATAAAATATTATATATCAACAATGTTCAATATTTCAACTTCATATGAAGTTGAGCATTTTGTATATTTTGTTATCTTGTCTAAATAAAACAATATACAGTATATATAACCTATTAAGGTGGTATTTGTAGTTCCTTATCCAAAAATGTACATCTCTGAGTAATGTATTCTGAGATACAAAATACATCAAACACATTTTGATTGCTCATTGCTGACATTTTACCTTAACAAACAACAGGAAGAAGGAGGATTCTTTTAAACACTCTTCACATGAATGTATGTTTCATTTTAAAATAGAATTGAACATATTTTTATCTGTATTGTTTTGAACTGTTTGAGAATATGTATGAATAGTAGACCTAGAGTTCATATTACATCTGAGTTTTGAACAAAGCTAGGTGCCAGAATGTTCAATTTGATATTCTTTAGCTGGGAAGCCCCTTATACCTGATTTTCTCATTTTTTTCTAGACCTCATACAGATTTGTTGAATTGCAACATTATGGGAGGTGCAAGTCACATTTTTGGAAGAACAAGTCACATTATGTTGGAATATATTTCTACAAGTTATTAGGTATTATTTTTATTTAAGAGTTCTAAAACATAAACTATTTTTTCAAATCATTTTCCTTAGTGTATTAATTTATTATCTTAGTAAATATGTATTAAGAACTTTGTATGGTGCAGAATTCCATATTATACCTTTAGTTAGTTTACAATGTCTTTGAAGTGAATAAAATTTGAATCAGTGACATGATGTACTCAGTAATTTTGAATATGCAGGTGTTATTATTTTTATTTGATATACAAACTAAAGTGAAATTCTGACCAAACTTAAGCCATGGTAACTAAGCATGTATTATATTATAGAAGATGATGTGAAGTGTTCTGGGAGTACAAAGAATAGATTAATCAATGAGACTATAAGTACTTAATAGGAACCTTTTAATATAAGTAAAATGAACCGAGCTTTAAGGGGCAAAAAACTTCATACTCTTCAAGGAGTCTCCGTATTTTCTTTCAATGGCTCCTGCCTGCCATTTCTCCAGCTATTCATCTAGATACCTTTTCTCATGTCCCCTTACTTAAGAAATAACCCAACCAGATGGATCTGAAAATCATTATTTAGCTTAAACAGAACACTTAGTAAGATTTTCTATATTTTATTGTATAACATTATGTAGCAAAGGTATCTTGGATATTCAATTTAAATCACAATGTATACATTGTGATTAAGTATTCAATAGTCTCTATAAGTTTTAAATGCCATGTAATTCTAGCTGACTATTACCCCTCTAAGCCCTAA
The DNA here is from genome assembly GCF_000001405.40 of Homo sapiens. Classification (NCBI taxonomy): domain Eukaryota; kingdom Metazoa; phylum Chordata; class Mammalia; order Primates; family Hominidae; genus Homo; species Homo sapiens. Next base: position 238,848,798 of record NC_000001.11, read on the forward strand.
TCCTTCTTGGGCTCATTTCTATATTTATTTATATTCATTTGTTATCAACTAATTATGCATGCATTCCCCAGCTTTCCTAAGGTATACCCTGCAGCTTTTATGTCTTCCACTATGAATTGTCCTTGAAACAGCCAAACACACCACACTTCTTTTATATTTTGGTTGAGATTCTAGCTATCCATCAAAACCTGTTTCCATTTCTTCTACACGCAAACCTGAACGATGTTTCTCCGTCTCCTTTGCAGTTAGATGCAGCTACATCGGTGATTTCTAATCAATACTTTGTGAACAAAACTGCATTGTGCCACTCTCAGGTCTATTTCTAAATCTGTCCAGTATGTGCGTCTCCATTTCTATCTTTCTTCAGGTGGACTGAGTTGGAAAAAACTCATAAGTGACCAAGAGCATACACGTTGAAGATCCAGAGTTCCAGTAAATCTGGGACTATCCTGATCTTTTACATAGTAAAGAAAAATGCTTCTATATATTGAATGATTTTTAATGGACCGACATGTTTAGGTCTATACAAGAACTAATATACACATAATCCTTAATATTTGTTGAAAAGATAACTTCCTATGTCTGTTGCATAATCAAGAAAACATAATCAACTTCCGTTATTTGGTACAACGACATATTTAGTGTCAGTGCAGTCTGCCTTATCCTAACAATATACAAATGGACAAATACAAATATTGTTGCAAACTTAACTTTTGTTATCTAAGTTCCTTGGTGATACCCCAAGGATCTTTGAATTGTTTCACTGTGCAGTTCTGGCTTATTTATCTACAGCTTCCTAAGTGTGGTAGAAAAATCCATTTTTTTGGAATCTGTATTTTGTGGTGGAGTTTGATAATCATTCCCTGAAGCTTAGCTTAGAAAATGATTTTTTCAGTCCACTCCTTCTTTTGTCTTATTTAATCCCTTTAGCTCAAAAGAGTAGATTCCCTTGGCTACAAATAAGAGTTATTTCCAATTACAGTGACCTATGTAGACTCACTATCCAGCTCACTCTCTTCCATGTTCTTCACAACTCTCTGGACCACACCTCTGCTTCTCCTGTCCCCAAGGTTTATTTTGATGTTAGTCATCGTAAATCACAGTAGACACTAGGGAGACATGAGGCAGTTGGCTGAGAGGGGACTCATCACTGTGGATGCTGTTCATTAAGCCAGGGTTTACTGCATTCGTGTTTTGCTCTATTTTGTCCAGAATGAACTCATACTTCAAAACTTTTCATCTTTTTCCTATGCACTAGTTTCTCTTATTAAAAGAGTCATTTGTTTTCAAAAGGCACATGTTCAAAATTAGAGAAAATATTTTAAAATTTAATAGTTTGTGGAAACATCATTGAACTGCTATTTGTTTTCTCCTAATATTTAGAAATGCAGAATTGTATTGTTTATGGAAAAATAAGCTTCCCAAAGACAAATTCACACACACACAAACATACACACACACACAGTAATATCTTGAAGATACGCAAGACTGTCTTGCTGCCTTTTGTCTTAAATCTTCTTATTAAATAAATAGCACTTGGTTTCTGACAATAGCATTGGGAAGTTTTTATACTAAAGGTAAAAGTGGAGCAAATCAAGAAATGTAATCTATCACATAAACAGAACCAATGGCAAAAACCACATCTCAATAGATGAAGAAAAGGCCTTCAATAAAATTCAATATACCTTCATGTTAAAAACTCACAATAAACTAGGTATTGATGAAACATTTCCCAAAATAATAAGAGCTTTATGACAAACCCACAGCCAATATAATATTGAATGGGCAAAAGCTGGAAGCATCCCCTTGGAAAACCGGTGCAAGACAAAGAAGCCCTCTCTCACCACTCCTATTCAATATAGTATTAGAAATTCTGGCCAGACTAATCAGGCAAGAGAAAGACGTAAAAGTATTCAAATAGGAAGAGAGGAAGTCAAGTTGTCTCTGTTTGCTGACGACATAATTTTCTATTTAGAAAAACCCAGCATCTCAGCCCCAAAATTTCTTGAACTGGTAAGCAACTTCAACAAAGTATCAGGAAACAAAATCAAAATTTTGTGTAAAATTCACAAGCATTACTTTACAACAACAACAGGCCCGCAGAGAGCCAAATCATGAATGAACTCCCAATCACAATCCCTACAAAGAGAATAAAATACCTAGGAATACAGCTAACAAGGGATGTGAAGGATCTCTTCAAGGAGAACTACAAACCACTGCTCAAGGAAATACGATAGGACACAAACAAATAGAAAGACATTGCATCCTCATGTACAGGAATAATCAATATTGTCAAAATGTCCATACTGCCCAGAGTAATTTATAGATTCAATGCTGTTCCCGTGAAACTACCATTGACATTCTCCACAGAATTAGAAAAAAAAAACTGTTTTAAATTTCATATAGAATCGAAGAAGACTCTGCATAGCCAAGACAATCCTAAGCAAAAAGAACAAAACTGGAGGCATCACGCTACCTGACTTCAAACTATACTACAAGGCTACAGTAACCCAAACAGCATGGCACTGGTACCAAAACAGACATATAGGCCAATGGAGCAGAACAGAGATCTCAGAAATAACACCTCACATCTACAACTATCTGATCTTTGGCAAACTGGACAAAAACAAGCAGTGGGTAAAGGATCTCTTATTCAGTAAATGGTGCTAGCCATATGTAGAAAATTGAAACTGGACTCCTTCCTTACACATCTTATAGAAAAACTAACTCAAGATGAACTAAAGACTTAAATGTAAATCCCAAAACCATAAAAACCCTAGAAAAAAACCTATGCAATACCATTCAGGACATAGGCATGGGCAAAGACTTCATGACAAAAACTCCAGAATCAATTGCAACAAAAGCCATAATTGACAATTAGGATCTGATTAAACTAAAGAGCTGCTGCACAGCAAAAGAAACTACCATCAGAGTGAACAGGAAACATACAGAATGGGAGAAAACGTTTTCAATCTACCCATGTGACAAAGGTCTAATACCCAGAATTTACAAGGAACTTAAACATATTTACAAGAAAGAAACAAACAACCCCATCAAAAAGTGGGCAAAGGTTTGTAGTTCTCTTGAAGAGGTCTTTCACATCCCTTGTAAGTTGTATTCCTAGGTATTTTATTCTCTTTGTAGCAATTGTGAATGGGAGTTCACTCATGATTTGGCTCTCTGTTTGTCTGTTATTGGTGTATAGGAATGCTTGTGATTTTTGCACATTGATTTTGTATCCTGAGACTGTGCCGAAGTTCCCTATCATCTTAAGGAGATTTGGGGCTGAGACAGTGGGGTTTTCTAAATATACAATCATGTCATCTGCAAACAGAAGCAATTTGATTTCCTCTTTTCGTAATTGAAAACTCTTTATTTCTTTCTCTTGCCTGACTGCCCTGGCCAGAACTTCCAATACTATGTTGAATAGGAGTGGTGAGAGAGGGCACCCTTGTCTTGTGCCAGTTTTCAAAGGTAATGCTTCCAGCTTTTGCCCATTCAGTATGATATTGGCTGTTGGTTTGTCATAAATAGCTCTTATTATTTTGAGATATGATTCATCAATACCTAGTCTATTGAGAGTTTTTAGCATGAAGGGGTGTTGAATTTTGTCAAAGGCCTTTTCTGCATCTATTGAGATATACATGTGGTTTTTCTCTTTGATTCTGTTTATGCGACAAATTATGTTTATTGATTTCCATATATTGAACCAGCCTTGCATCCCAGGTATGAAGCCAACTTGATCGTGGTGGATAAGCTTTTTGATGTGCTGATGGATTCGGTTTGTCAGTATTTTATTGAGGATTTTCACATCAATGTTCATCAGAGATATTGGCCTGAAATTTTCTTTTTTGTTGTTTCTCTGCCAGGTTTTGGTATCAGGATAATGCTGGTCTCATAAAATGGGTTAGGGAAGATTTCCTCTTCTTCTATTGTTTGGAATAGTTTCAGAAGGAATGGTACCAGCTCCTCTTTGTATCTCTGGTAGAATTTGGCTGTGTATCCATCTGGTCCTGGACTTTTTCTGGTTGGTAGGCTACTAATTACTGCCTCAATTTCAGAACTTGTTATTGGTCTATTCAGGGATTCGATGTCTTCCTGGTTTAGACTTGGGTGGGTGTATGTGTCCAGGAATTTATCAATTTCTTCTAGATTTTCGAGTTTATTTGTGTAGAGGTGTTTATATTATTCTCTGATGATAGTTTGTATTTCTGTGGGATCTGTGGTGATATCCCTTTTATCGTTTTTATTGCATCTATTTGATTCTTTTCTCTTTTCTTCTTTATTATTCTGGCTAGTGGATATTTTGTTGATCTTTTCAAAACTAGCTCCTGGATTAATTGATTTTTGAAGGGTTTTTTTTTGGGTCTTTATCTCCTTCAGTTCTTCTCTGATCTTAGTTATTTATTGTCTTCTGCTAGCTTTTGAATTTGTTTGCCCTTGCTTCTGTGGTTCTTTCAATTGTGATGTTAGGTTGTCAATTTTAGATCTTTCCTGCTTTCTCGTGGGCATTTAGAGTTATAAATTTCCCTCTACACACTGCTTTAAATGTGTCCCAGAGATTCTGGTACATTGTATCTTTGTTCTCATTGGTTTCAAAGAACATCTTTATTTCTGCCTTAATTTCGTTATGTACCCAGTAGTCATTCAGGAGCAGGTTCTTCAGTTTCCATGTAGTTGAGCAGTTTTGAGTGAGTTTCCTAATCCTGAGTTCTAATTTGATTGCATTGTGGTCTGAGACGATGTTTGTTATGATTTCCATTCTTTTGCATTTGCTGAGGAGTATTTTACTTCCAATTATGTGGTCAATTTTAGAATAAGTGTGATGAGGTGCTGAGAAGAATGTATATTCTATTGAATATACATTCTATTGAATGTATACTCTGGGGTGGAGAGATCTGTGGATGTCTATTAGGTCCACTCGGTCCAGAGCTGAGTTCAAGTCCTGAATATCCTTGTTAATTTTCTGTCTCGTTGATCTGTCTCATATTGACAGTGGGGTGTTAAAGTCTCCCACTATTATTGTGTGGGAGTCTAAGTCTCCTTGTAGTTCTCTAAGAATTTGCTTTATGAGTCTGGGTGCTCCTGTATTGGGTGCATATACATTTAGGATAGTTAGCTCTTCTTGTTGCATTGATTGCTTTACCATTATGTAATGACCTTCTTTGTCTCTTTTGATCTTTGTTTGTTTAAAGTCTGTTTTATCAGAGACCAGGATTGCAACTCCCACTCTTTTTTTTGCTTTCCAGTTGCTTGGTAAATATTCCTCCATCCCTTTATTTTGAGCCTATATGTATCTTTGCATGTGAGATGGGTCTCTTGAATACAGCAAATGCACGTGGATAGGAAGAATAAATATGGTGAAAATGGCCATACTGTCCAATGTAATTTATAGATTCAATGTTATGGCCATCAAGCTACCCTTGAATTTCTTTATGGAACTGGAAAAAACTACTTTAAACTTCATATGGAACCCAAAAAGAGCCCTTATAGCCAAGACAATCCTAAGCAAAAAGAACAAAGCTGGAGGCATCACACTACCTGACTTCAAACTATACTACAAGGATACAGTAAACAAAGCAGCATGGTACCAGTACCAAAACAGACATACAGATCAATGGAACACAACAGAGGCCTCAGAAATAACACCACACATCTACAGCCATCTCATCTTTGACAAACCTGACAAAAACAAGCAATGGGGAAAAGATTCCCTATTTAATAAATGGTGTTGGGAAAACTGGGTAGCCACAGGCAGAAAACTGAAACTGGACCCCTTCCTTACACCTTATACAAAAATTAACTCAAGGTGGATTAAAGACTTAAACGTAAGTCCTAAAACCATAAAAATCCTAGGAGAAAACCTAGGCAATACCATTCAGGACACAGGCATGGGCAAAGACTTCATATCTAAAACACCAAAAGCAATGGCAACAAAAGCCAAAATTGACAAATGGGACCTAATTAAACCAAAGAACTTCTGCACAGCAAAAGAAGCTATCATCAGAGTGAACAGGCAACTGACAGAATGGGAGAATATTTTTGCAATCTATCCATCTAACAAAGGGCTAATATCCAGAATCTACAAAAACTTAAACAAATTTACAAGAAACAGACAAACAACCCCATCGAAAAGTGGGCCAAGGATATAAATAGACACTTCTCAAAAGAAGACATTTATGCAGCCAACGGACATATGAACAAAAGCTCATCATCACTGGTCATTAGGGGAATGCAAAGCAAAACCACAATGAGATACCATCTCACACCAGTTAGAATGGCAATCATTAAAAAGTCAGGAAACAGCAGATGCTGGAGAGGATGTGGAGAAATAAGAAAGCTTTTACACTGTTGGTGGGAGTATAAATTAATTCAACCATTGTGGCAGACAGTGTGGTGATTCCTCAAGGATCTAGAACTAGAAATACCATTTGACCTAGCAACCCTATTACTGGGTATATACACAAAAGATTATAAATCATTCTACTATAAAGGTATGCATACGTATGTTTATTGCGGTGCTATTCACAATAGCAAAGACTTGGAGCCAACCCAAATGCCCATCAATGATAGACTGAATAAAGAAAATGTGGCACATATACACCAAGGAATACTATATAGCCATAAAAAAGGATGAACTCATGTCCTTTGCAGGGACATGGATGAAGCTGGAAACCATCATTCTCAGCAAACTAACACAAGAACATAAAACCAAACACTGCATGTTCTCACTCAGAAGTGGAAGTTGAACAATGAGAACACATGAACACAGGGAGGGGAACATCACACACTGGGGCCTGTCATGGGGTGGTGGGCTAGGGGAGGGATAGCATTAGGAGAAATGCCTAATGTAGGTGATGGGTTGATGGGTGCAGCAAACCACCATGGCATGTGTATACCTATGAAACAAACCTGCACATTCTGCACATGTACCCCAGAAGTTAAAGTATAATAATAAAAAAAGTGGGCACAGTATATGAACAGACACTTCTCAAAGAAGGCATTTACGCAGCCAAGAAACATATGAAAAAAAGCTCAACATCACTGATCATCAGAGAAATTTCAATCAAATCCACAATGAGATACCATCTCTCACCAGTCAGAATGGTGACTATTAAAAATTCAGGAAACAATAGATGCTGGCGAGGCTGTGGAGAAATAGGAATGCTTTTACCCTGTTGGTGGGACTGTAAATTAGTTCAACCATTGTGGAAGTAATTATGGCAATTCCTCAAGGATCTAGAGCCAGAAATACCAATTGACCCAGCAATCCCATTACGGGGTTTGTACCCAAAGGAATATAAATCATTCTACTATAAAGACACATGCACAAGTATGTTTATTGCAGCACTATTTACAAGAGCAAAGACATGGAATCAACCAAAATGCCTATCAATGATAGAATGGATAAAGAAAATGTGGTGCACATACATCATAGAATACTATGCAGCCATAAAAAGGAATGAGATCCTGTCCTTTGCAGGGACATGGATGAAGCTGGAAGTCATCAACCTCAGCAAACTAACACAGAAAGAGAAAACCAAACACGGCATGTTCTCACTCATAACTGGGAGTTGAACATTGAGAAAACATGGACACAGAGAGGGGAACAACACACACCAGGGCCTGGTGGGGAGTGGCAGTTCAGGGGAAGAATTTAGAGGACAGGTCAATAGGTGCAACAAACCACCAAGGCACACATATACCTATGCAACACACCTGCACGTTCTGAACATGTATCTGGGGTTTTTGTTTGTTTGTTTTAGAAGAAATAAAGAATAACGAAAATCTAAAAAAAAAGAGGCGAACTTTGAACTCCTGATGTAAATTGAATGTTATGTAAACTCGTAAACATGAAGTAAATTTTTTAAGTATTGAGTAAACCAAGAAATCAATAGAGGAGAATAGAAGTAAATTAAATTTGTAGAATTTTTTAGAAACTAAATTACAAAGGTAAAAATCACACTAAAAGGAACTCACTGTGAAGAGCACATGTAAAAATTTTAACTTTGTCCAAAATATTAAATGGAGCATGGGTTCAATAAAAACTTCATTTATATTTTTGTTATAAATTCCAAAGGACAAAAATCTGTTGCCTCTATATCATCATTTATTCATTTTACTAACTTCTTTTTAATCCAAAAAGCATTCTGAAGAGTGGAAGAGTGTATGACAAGAAATATTGTTGGGCTGATTGTATATTTTAGTGGGAGAAAAGTATTCATAAACACCTTTGCTACAGGGCAGATGGCTGTAACTGCTGTAAAGATATATTAAGTGCTGTGGGAATACAAAGACGGAAGAAGTGGCTCCTCATTGATTTGATCAAAGAAGGCATCACAGAAGAGGTCACATTTGAGGGGAATCTAGAAAGATAATAGGATTTCAACACTCTTACTTCTGAGGGTAGGGAAGGCCTTAGAAGGATAATGACTGCATTGAGCAAACGCTGTAAAGCAGAAAGTTATCCAAGGAATGATAGAGATCTGTTTGAGCATACAGCAGAGGACTTGAAGGACTTTAATGAGACGCTAAGTTAAAACGTTATACTAAAGCTAGAGTTTCAGAATTTGAGGGTGCTAGATTGAGGAATTCTTTATAAATTTAGCAGAAAATTATGAAGTATTATTTAAATTGAGCAGATATATAAAGTCACTAGAGCTAGTTTATATCTTAAGTAGAAGTTGTCATAAGTGTCAAATACTTAAGGTGTAAGATTTAGATGTTTCATGGACTATATTATCATGTGTTAACTAAAGCCTGCCTCAGAATAAGGCTTGACACAGTTTTCCCTAAATGCTTTATGGACTGAACATTATAACAAAAACAAAGACCTAATCAGGACATAAAGGCATATCTGACACTTCTCCAGTATTTGTAGGAATAAAACACAATGGGAATCTAATCAGATACAAGAATAAGTTAGCATAGAACCTTTGGACATTTTCTAAACTATTTGAAATTTTGATTTGCAACCATTTCTCATAATGAACATTGCGCCTTTAAGATACAAGCAAATAAAATTATGAAGCCGTTGCAATTAGCAAGATAATTACAAATACATTTTTATTTAACCAATAGTAGTACCCATTCTGTTTAGAAATATTGTAAAGTATTGTAAAGTCATATCCAAAAGTTTAGAAATATTGTAAAGTATAATAATGTTTGCAAACTGGATTAAAGTCTCATTACAATTCTCCCTGCGTGAGGAAAATGTTGAATTTTTATAGGTGAAAATTAAGTTAATTGAGACTAGATAATATATTCTGTCTATCCTAAATTGGGCATATAGTATGCAATACTTTCCTACTTGCCAAACATGAAGGAATGAGTGAGTTACCACTGTATCTGTGTTGGGATATGAACAACTTTTAACATGTATAATATGTGACCACCTGACACTTAGACCAGGAAAGAGGGCCAGTGTCAATCTGTAAATTAAGGTATGCATTTAAATATTAGTAATTATTAAAGTATTTATTCTTTAGATTTAAATGAATACTAATAAGAGTTCTGATGTTTGCTTCTGTACCACTATGTATCTTCCTGATCTCTACTTCGTAAATCACTATTCTAGTGATGGATAGGATAGCTTGATTTAAGCTTTTATTCCACATTATATTCATAAGGCATAATATTACTTTGTACCTCAAAAATATATACAATTTTAAATTGTCAGTTTACAATGAAATAAAAATTTAAAAAAATCACTACTCTACAATTATACCTTTAGCTTGATATAAAAATTCTATTCACATGCAAACATAGGGACAGGATAATCTCTTATTTTCAATTGTCTGTATAAAAGTCTAATCACTTGATTGCATTAACCAATCTATTCTTTCTGGCTATTCTATATTTTCCCTTACCTGAGTATGTTACAAACCTATTTTGCCTTTATTCTTGGCTACATCATTAGCCATATTATACTTTAAATAATACATGATTTGGCTTCATTTTGTTTTCAACTACCTTGGGGTGTAAAATTAGTGTGGCAGGGTGCGGTGGCTCACATCTCTAATCCCAACAATTTGGGAGGCCAAGGTGAGAGCATCACTTGAGACTTGGAGCCCAAGACTAGCCTGGGCAACATAGGGAGACTCCTTCTCCACAGAAAGTAAAAATTAGCCAGGCATGGTGGCATGCACCTGTAGTCCCAGCTACTCGGCAGGCTGAGATGGGAGGATCGCTTGAATCTAGAAGGCTGAGGTTGTAGCGAGCCCTGACTGTGCCACTGCGTTCCATCCTGGGAGACAGAACAAGAATCTGTCTTAGAAAAACAACAACAACAGCAACAAAACAGAAGGCCGGGCACAGTGGCTCACAGTGGTAATCCCAGCACTTTGGGAGGCCGAGGCAAGTGGATCACCTGAGTTCAGGAATTTGAGACTAGCCTGGCCAACACGGTGAAACCCTGTCTCTACCAAAAATACAAAAATTAGCTGGGCATGGTGGTGCATGCCTGTAATCCCAGCTACTGGGGAGGTTGAGGCAGGAGAATTGCTTGAACTCGGAAGGCAGAGGTTGCAGTGAACCAAGGTCGTGCCACTGCACTCCAGCCTGGGCGACAGAGTGAAACTCCATCTCAAAAAAAAAAAAAAAATTAAAAATAAATAAATAAATAAATAAATGAAATAATATGTGAGTGAGACTAACTCTGTTTTGTATTTCTTGGGTACCCTAAGCTTGACTGCTGATTATTTTTGCTTCTTACTCTGTAGACCTGGAAATAACTTCTTTATCTCTCCTTCTCCTTCCTCTCATTTTATCTTTTAACCACTGTCATAGTGATAAGTCCAAAGTTTAATTGCATGCATTCACTCACCCACACACACAGACTCTAGAAAACTTATTTATTAATTGAGAGAAAGCACAATTTATATAGAGTGGTAAAAAAAAAAGAAAAGAGAAGGCTGGAGGAAGCCATTGCATTGAAAACTGACTATATATGTTAGTTGATTGGAAAAGGAGTCAGAAAACTCAGAATTTAAGGCTGAGCGATTGAAAGAATATTAATACTATTGAGTAGAATACCAAATCAAGTCCATATGGGAGGCAGATTTTACCTCTCGGGGAAACCTATGGGCTCAGGTTTTTCTGAGTCATTTAGATTTGTTTGTTATCATTGTTCGGATGCAAGAAATTAATTTTTATGTAGAAGGAGAGGTATAGTAAGATTAATTCATTATACAATTAAAGGAGTCATTTAAGAGACCAATTTTTTAAGCCAACAAAAAGAGTTGTCAAAACCAAAGGAGCTGTATCCATGGATGGCTCTGAGCATCTAGGAACTAGCAGAGATTATTTGGGAATAAAGAGCACAGGATCACACAGACTGACTAGAGCTCTCTTCTCCTCAATGCTCCACCACAGACACCTGAAGTCATCGTGTACCCGGGTATACCAAGGGTAGACCCAGAGGGCCTGCGACTGGACAGCTGAGCTTCTCGCTGAGGGCACTGGTGACAGAGGTGGTGAGGCACTTTGAAGAGGAGACCTAGGTGCCAATGAATAACCATGAATAGGCCTGTCCCAAAGCACACGTGACAATTCTGTAGGGACTCCCAGAAATAGATGGGAGAAACTGTAGTGGGAGGAAAGACATTCTAATTTGAGCATTAATGTTTATTACTCCCATAGTGCAGAAAAGCTCAAGAAAACTCAAGTACCAAGAGGAGTAGGAAAATCCATAATCCAGGCAAGTGTTTGAAGCTGACTTTGTGAAAGTGGAATCACCACATTGAGGTTTTGGTTCCAGTTATGGGAGTAGGTGTGATTATTAATGGAGAGTGAGATAAAAGAATATAAGAGAAAGATCTTAAGAGACATCCTCATTTGTTCTGTTATTTAATTTGGATTAACACATTTTTCTCCAACCACTAAGATTCCCAACTTTTGATTTGGGATGAATAAAAGTTGAGAAAGAAGAAAAATGAATTAAATAAAGTAGATGTATCCCTAAAGATAAAGCCATTTAAGTCATAGTATGCAAATGAGAACTTTTAAGTGCTATTCATAAGAGGCCATTACTGTAAAGATGTATATATTATATCTTGCTCAATTTAAAGACAGAAATATATCAGCACTGTAAGGGTCAACTTAATTAAAACTAGAAAAATCCCTCATGTTAGAGATTCTATATTTCATTTCAGTGTCCCTAATCATGACTGCTTTAAGAAAATTCTTCAGTCTATTTTCAAAGAAATATTTTCTCAACTGTAGGGTTGGTTGCTTTAAAAATGTATAAACAAGATAATTTTGTATCCTCTGAAATCCCATTTTAAGCAAGACCTTTTCTTTGCCCTGTGATATTCAATAGAGGAAAATTTTATTTTAAATATATACAATACATTCGATAAATTATTAAGTAAATTACACTTTAGTGCCAAATAGTTCCTTTTTATATTGCTAGATTATTGCTGATAAGGACAGCACTCTTATTTATATTGTCCTAAAAATAATAGAACAATTAAAATCGAGGAGTAATAACTGCAATGTTAATTCATAAGATTTGTACCTATTGGAATAGGCCACATAAAAGTGAATAGTGTGAAATCAACTAATCAAGAACTTCTTGGCTTTATCAGATTTATAACATAGCTTTAACTTTTAGCTCTTCTTCCACTTTGGATTAGTCTAGAGGAAACACTGAAACTGCATTCCTCAGATACCCTTCCTTACATGTTTCTAGGTTAGGACTGCCCACAAGAGAAATGAGGAGGAGCTCTGGAAGGGAGGAGAGAAGCAGCCGCCCTTACACTCTGCAGGAGAATCTCTCACCTGTTTTTAGCTGATAGGCTGGCTCATCTCCGTGACATTAGGCAGCTGTACCGGTGGAGGGTGTCCAGGTTCTTGTCATCTTGAACAAAGAATTGGACAAAACGCACAAACAAAACAAGGGAAGAATGAAGCAACGAAAGTAGAGATTTACTGAAAATGAAAGCACACTCCATAGGTTGGGAGCAGGCCCGAGCAAGGGGCTCAAAGGCCCTGTTACAGAATTCGCTGGTGTTTAAATACTTCCTAGATATTTCCCATTGGTTACTTGGTGTACTACACCCTATGTAAATGAAGAGGTTGAAGGGAGGTTACAAAGTTATTTACTTGGTGTGCACCCTATGCAAATGAAAAGTATGAAGTGAGGTCACCAAGTTATTTACTTGATGTGCACCCTATGCAAATGAAGAGTATGAAGTGAGGTTACAAAGTTATTTACTTGGTGTGCGCCCTGTGCAAATGAAGAGGATGTTTCCTGTCAGAGCTGAAGTAGATTTACAAAGTTATTTACTTGGTCTTAGAAGGTTGGGTTTTTTCTGATGATTTAGTTCTGGAAGTCAGTTCTGGAAGTTAGGTTCCCTCCCTGCAGACCCTATTCTGCCTCACACCCATGCCCTTCAGCTCCTGTACCTCCCACTGGATCTCCTTGTTAAACTTCAGAGTTCAGGGCCACTTGTGTGTGCAGCCGTTGCAAGTAGGTCAACAGCTTCTTGTGCTGGTCACCTATGTGGTCTTGGGCTAGCTGAAGTGAGAGACCCACATGGGTTCCAATTTGTCTTTGTGAGCTCCTGATTTTCTTTGTAAATTACAATTTGTCTTTGCAAGTCCCAGCATGTCCTTGACTTCTCCCCTTTATGCTGCGTGGCAACTATCTTTCTTGCTTAACTTACAGCAACTTCAGGACTCCCCATCAGCAAATGCACAGACAACAGACCTTCACAGGTTCTTCACCAGCTCCCTTTGTCATCCCTAGTCCCCAGCTGGTGAATTTTCTCTAATGCAGCAACCAATCCCATTTAGAGCTTTACTTTCCCAATTTCTCCCAAAATTGTATCCTGACCCTGTAATAAATCTTTTATTCCACATCATTCACCAAACTCTATCTGATACAGGCATGAAAGGAAAAGGGCTTACTTTTCAAATTTAACCAAGAGTTTAATTTCTACTTTTCTTGTCAAACATACTTTCAAATTGAACTCAGTGTTTTCTTAAATATTGTTTAGAATAATCTTCTCCATTATGATAACATTTATATTGAGGAGATGTTGTTAAAATAATACAAGTTGTATTTCCTTTCTTGGTTCAGGGACTGTAAGATGAAAACAAATTGCTAAGACAAATACCACAACTATACAAAATATTTTCTTCCCATAAGAGCAGACTCTGCTCGATAAAAGTTGGCTCATGACTACTCACCATATAATTTAAATTCTATCTTCAGGAAGTCATTAAAAATATTGTTTCATTCAACATTATTCTGTTATAACATCGACAGGGAAAATAAAATTGATTCTCAGCCAGGACCACTGCCTGTATGGACTTTACATATGTCTGTGTGAGTTTTCCCTGGGTGCTCCAGTTTCCTCCCACATCCTAAGGTTGTGCTTATCAGGTTATTGCGTGCATCTCAATACTCCTAATTTGAGTGAGTGTGAGTTTGCGTGGGTGTGTATGCCCACCCGATGGGACAGCTGCCCGTCCACGATGGATCCCTGCTTTGTGCCCTGAGCTGCTGGGATAGGCTCCTGCCACCTCTAACCCTGAAGTGGAACAAGAGGGTTGGAAAATAAATATATGAGTGGATACAAATTATTGCTAAATAAAAATATGTCAAATATAGATAATCATCCAAATTTGCAACAACAAATGATGCTGTTGGAAAGCACTCAGCAAGCTGCTGTATTAGAGATTGTTTTTCAACTGTGTGATGGTGGGAGGTGTTCTTTATTATTTTTATTTGCAAACATTTATTCCTTGAATGAACCCACCACCAGGATGACAGCCATCACTCCCTGATTCACGAAAAATTGGCTAATCATCTTGTTTTTATTAATATTTCTTAAATATATAGCTCACATTTATTTGGTGATGTCTTTGTGACCATAAATATGCTGTAGAAACTTAGCTTTTGTTTGTATCAATTAGCCTGTGATAAAATTGGCTTCCTTTTACCTCATTTTGTTCAAAGTTGTAGTTTCCAAGAACCTATCCACAGCATTCAGTGAGGTCTTAACTATATTGTGGATTTGATCTGTTCTTTGTTTTGTGGTTATCTCCTCTTTAGTGTTTCATTCCTTTTAATTAATTAACCTTCTTGCAACCTGATAATGCAATTTGACAGAAGAGTTTGGAAATCATAGGCTAGAAACTGTTTAGAAACTGGAGGTAACACCTATACCTCATGTTGAGATGACTTAATGAAGATAGTGGAATAACAACAGCAACAAAACAACAGCAGCAGAAACTATACAATTTAACAACAAATGCAAGATGTGGTCTCCTGTAATTTTTATGAGTAAACTCATTTAATCCTCACTACCGTAAGATACTTAGAAGTTGATATTATTCTCGGTTTAAACATAAGGAGCTGAGGCCTCAATTTTTTTTTAATTGCTTTTAAGTGTTTTAGCTCCACAAGTGACAAAAATATTTGGATTCAAATCTGTCTCTTCTCAAAAATGATATTCTTTACATTCAATTTCTCTACTTTTCTTTACAACATGCCTATTTTCTAAAATTTGTTTCAAAATTCAACTCTTTTATTTTAAAAAACTATAACATTAAAAAAAAAATCCTGTCCCTGCATATAGCTCATTTACTTTAACTCTTATAAATCCTATTAAAGGACACACAAGGTTTTAAGATGACATTTTGTTGTTGTTGTTATTGATGCTAAGGGTAGTGAAGCAGGATATTTCCCTGACCCCTTTGAGGGACATGCAACAGGGGTGCCTCATTTATTCAGCCACTGCTCTCAACTCTTCATGGGAGGGAGGGATTGTGTGGCTGAATGAGGCAGAAACTGGAGTGCATGAGTGCTGGAACTGGCCAGCCACTTCAGTGCTGCCAGAAGCAAACTCTGTGTGGGTCCCACAGCAGCATCCAGGTTGCTGGGGGCAGGGGTGCCTGTGACCCCTGAAGCCCCAGAGGGAGTGTTACAGTGCTCTTTTAGCTCTACTGTTTGCAGATGGCTAAAGCGTAAACAGCTGAGTGGGCCCTTTGCCTCATTGGGTGAGGTGGCTACCCTCCACCAGCGAAGGCAAAAGGCCAGTGTGACAGCCTTTTGTGTCCACACTTGTGGTTGCCAAGCTCTTATCTGGCATCCAGGAAAAATGAGGTCGCATGAATGAATTCAAGGATGGTAAATGTGGGGGATTTTACTGCTGATGAAAGTGGCTCTCAGCAGGAAGGGGAGCTGAAAAGGGGACGGGGAGGAAGGAGGTAATCTTCCTCTGAAGTCCGGCCATCTCTGGCAGGATTCTTCTCCAAAGTTACATTGTCAAACTGTCCCTCTAAAGTCAAGCTGCTTCTCTCCAATGTCCAGCTGTAGCCCTGAATCCAGCTGCTTCTCCCCTCTGCTGGCTGAGTCTGGGGTCTTTATAGGCAAAGGATGGGGAGGGACAGGCCATGGGTAGTTTAGGAAAAGGCAGCATTTGAGAGGGAAAACAGGTGTGGAAGTTCTCACTTGGGGTCACAGCTTCAGGTTTTTCAGCTTGAGGTTGGGGTTTTCACTGGGAACCCACCCTTTTCTGCCTAGAATCTCTCTGCTTATCAATAATATAAAAACTGCTTCATATAGCTACCTTAAAAATATTTTCTTCCAAAACAATCAAATCTGACAGGAAGGTTTTGGCCATCTTAAAAATAAAAACCAATGGCAACAAAATGAAAAAGCACAGAGAGACAAGTAGAATATTCTTTCTTGAATTTATAGTGGGAAGCTTGATAGAACAAAAACTTCCAACAAATCTTCCTCATCTCAGCCCATTTGGAAAGGTGACAAGAACCATATCTCTCATGACATTATGGTACTTCGCTTGTCAAACCTTTAAAGAGAAATATATATATATATATATATATGTGCTGGCTCCAGTCCTAGTTTAAAACTGTTTTGCTCACTCAATACTAGAAGCACTCTTATAAATACACTGTGTTCATCCACTCATCTTCCACGTTAACAAGACTTTGTTTTGCTGAGAGGTTGTG
Organism: Homo sapiens; assembly: GCF_000001405.40. Lineage (NCBI taxonomy): Eukaryota > Metazoa > Chordata > Mammalia > Primates > Hominidae > Homo > Homo sapiens. The sequence goes on from NC_000001.11 coordinate 238,865,781, forward strand.
ATGGGTGTATTTGGAGGAAAAAAGAGTGTATCCTTTGAATTCCCAAAGAAAGAAATATAGATTAAGGACTGGAAAATAATCTCACAGTAATAACATGTTTCTGAATGTAGATTCCCAGAAGGATGTCATTACAAAAACTGATGATAATTTTGAGGTTTCAGACTTCAACTTACAGAATACTAGAGGGAGAACATGTAGGAGAAAAAGCTAAAACCCGTAAATAATTAAATCAACTAAGGCACAAAGATCATGCATGAATGATAATTGATAAATATATCTTGCATTTTAACAACAGATAGTTATTTCAAAACTTGTCATATCTATATCTCTGTGAGTGGGGAATTCATATTCTCAATAAAATAATTCCATATCCTTCCCTTAAATCATTACCCCTCTTATTTTGAAACAATGAAATTCAGAACACAGGAAGCAACAATTTGTTTTGGATCATTACCTGGTGATTTTATTAACCCTTTCTTTCTTAGAAGCATCTTTATTTGTGTGTGTGTGTGTGTGTGTCTGTGTTTGTGTGTGTGTGTGTGTGTTTAACCTACAGAGTTGAGTGATTATAATTTTTGAGCTGGAGCTTGAGAAGAAAGTAAGAACCGAGTTGATGGTATGCTGAAAGAAAATTCACGCTAGCTTTAGAGAACTAACTTGCAACCTGCGAGATCAGAAAGACTTGATAAAATACACTTTAGCAGTGAGGCTGCTGGCATAGAAAATGCAGTCTTCTTTCTACAGCCTGGTGAGCTCTTCTCAGTCCCTGCACCAGATCACAGCACAATAGCAACTTCCTTAGGGATGCTTTCCCCCGAACCCCCTAGTGCGGGTTAATTTTCTTTATTAAGATTCTCATTTATTTCTCACAATTTATCTCAGTTATCATAAAATGATTTGAACAAAATCTGTAAGCCCTTTAGGGGAAATGTTGTTTGAAGGATTTGTTTTTGGTTCTTGCATGACTGCATCTCCAGTGAACAGAGACCAGCACTGTGTAGAGAAAACAGTAACAGCTCATAATTATAAGTTGAAAGAATAGTCAAGTGAATAAATAATCCACAGCTAATGGTGCAGTCTGTCTTAAAATCTAAATTTGCTCATCATTTAAAAAAGGCAAAAATGCTGAAATAAGATATATGAGGATGTCTTCACTGCACAGCACAAAACAAAATTTAATATTCTCAAACATTAAATTATGGGAAGAAAATCTGATTTGGAGAGAAGAAAAGCAGATATGATATGCACTGGGGAATCAAAGAGCACAGTAACTCAGACTCACCTTACTGCAAGAAAGATAAAGATAAAGGGAAAAGAAAGAGAAAGAGAAAGAGCAGAAAGGAGGGAAGACAAGAGAGGGACAAATGATGAAGGGAAGGGGAGAAGGCAACATGGATTGGCCCAGTTACATAAAGACAGGAATGTTAATTGTACTTGGTGACTTGCTGGTCTTTTATGACCTTATCAAAAGTTGTTCAGTGGAGTGATGTTACAGTAACCAATGCAGAAAAGTTTGGGGATAGTTAATAATGGTGTCTTTCTTATGCCATTGCTGTGAGAATTAAAAGATTTAGTAAAGTTCAAGTTTCTAGCATAGTTTCTGGAACATAGTAAGCTTTCAATAACAAGCCCACAAAGAGCACAGTTCATGATTAGTTAGGAAATTTGGGGTATTTCTCAAAATAAATGTTAGACATCATTACCATTATTGATGTTCTTGTTATTTTTATTATTCCAATGTATTGTTTGTTTTTGAGAGAGTAGAATTATAGTTTGTGTTTTTATGCATTACTACAGATTGATTGATGAATAATATGTGTAAAATTAAAAATGGAAACCACGTAAATCTGTCTAACTAAGCTGACCAGGCATAATTACCTGGGAATAAAAATATAAAAAAAAGCAAAAGAAACTCTAAATTAAAAAGCAAAAACAAAACTGGAAGTTTATTTCATTTTACACGTAGACTGATAATGGAATAGTCAGATAGTCATGATAAGAAGAAAGGATGCTCTTTATTCTTCCTATGAGCTTACATAATAAACATTTAATTTTTCTAACTAAATTGGCATCTTTTCTGTATGTTTTATTTTCTAGATTGTAAGTGGTACAAAGAAGTCAGTGACACACTTGCTGAATGACAACGTAATATACAATATTGGGATTGAAATACAGATTTTCCTATTTTCTTAGTTTTGAAAATCAACTAGAGATTGCTCAAATATATTAAAAGTAGGAAGAACTTTTCATACTATGTGCAGACTATTATCTGATAATAAGCACAAATAAAATTTGATTGACATTAAATATAAGTAACTGGAAATTATTGTTATTCCTGTTAGAGTGAATACCTACTATAACAATCGCCTCTATTTGAAGATCTTCTTACCATTCATTTAATTTACATAAACTATTGTTGACGATAAAAAGCAAACAAACTTTTCACTACCAGTTACATTCTAAATGTCCGTTAATAAGATAAAATTCAAGTTTATAACTAAGAATGTTTAAGGTAAGTAAAATATATAGAGAAAAAATTTCAAATTAAAATATAAATAATTCATAACCTGTTTCTAAATTAAATAATCTCAATATGAAATTCAATTGACAGATAAAAATTTGTCCCCAAAATTAAATTATTCTAAAATTTTTTTTTCCACAGAATTACTTGCATTTTAAAAAATACTTTCACTATTGAGTCATCTAAAACTAACTGGACAAAATGTAAAGGCCTAAGAACAACTGGTCTAGAAGTTTAAATTTAATAATTGCTTCTTGTCAAATGTTTACTATCTAGAGTTTATACTCAGGTAATTAAAGACTTGGGGATTTTGAAGGCCATGGCCTTGTATACTGAATGGCTGAACTGAAAACAAAAACAAAAACAAAAACAAAAACAAAACAAAACCAAAAAAAAAAAAAAAACAGCCAGAGGTCTATGTGCTGTGATATTTATTGTTGCTCAGAAGAGTGGAACTACTGGCAATATTTTCTTTTCAGAAGTTAGTCTGGCCTCATCCTTTGAGACCCAAGCCCAGGAGTGTAAACAAACATCTATAAAGAAACAGAAGCAGCAATCTGGAAATGGTGTCTAATACAACCTCTTTTATCCCCACCCTTTGAGGCAATTCAAATCAAAGGAATTCATTTAAAAAAGAAAAATCTCAGCAAGCATTCTAGTGATAGTTCATGCAACAACTCCTTTATTTCACTAGTGGGAAATTGAAAAGAATTTGCCCAACGCAGTTAAGAAACTGAATTCCTGTTGTTGCAATATCCTGACTATATTCTCTTCTAGTTGAAAACAAATCCTAGATCCTATTTTGCGCATTCCCACTTTCAAGCAGCAATATTTTGTATTTAAGATATTATTTATAAATTATTTTTTAAAATAATGCCAACTATTATTTAAACCCCACAAATTCTTGAAAAACTGATTTTATCGAATTTCAGCCTTCATTCATTCATTCATGTAGAAATATAAACCAGGCTGCTATCTGCATAAAAATATTTGATGAACCGTATCACCAGCTAAGTACAAGGAACTTCATAAAAATTTTGTGAAATATTACAATGTCTAAGTTTTACTAGATAGCAATTGACAAATATGTTATGTAGTTGAAAGCCAAAAATATATATATATACTTAAAACCATAATTAGTTCTATGTTATACGATATTGAAATCAATTTAGAAGTTTCACTATAGCTGTGTAGCCTTATGTTTTCTTCTTTAAAATAAATTTAATAAATAACAGCTATTGTAGCTACTCCACTTGGACTTTACTTATAACACTTTCTTTTTTTTTGCTTGGAATGTAAATAGAATGGCAACCTTCAATGTTAGACATATATTACAACTTCGCTGAACATGCTATATGTTTGTTTGCTTGTTTTTGCCAAAAAGACATGGCATTTTCAATGGGACAGCTAAAATAAGTAAGGTTATACTCATCAAAATTCTTTATATATGTCTGAAAACCATTACCACCTGATAATTCAGTTGGTGCAAGACTTCTAAGTACCTTTGTCTGAGGTTGTTTTGTTTGTTAGTAGGCTAGCTGAAAAATGAGATTAGCACTAAATCTATTAGTGTCAGAATAGAAAACAATCAAGAGTTCATGGAAATGAAAACATGTTAAGAAGCCAGAATAGGGAAAATAAATTAATAGAGAAAAATCTCATCCTTTCTGGAAGATGATAGACTGCAGTTTAAAGAACTGGGGGTTTAAAGCTACGGGGACACTGGCGATTTAAGAGGGTGAAACACTGCAGGCCAAGGGAGCAGGCAGGTAGAAAAGTAAGGATGTTATGACACCTATCTTCCCTTAGCAGTTCGATAGATCCATAAGAGGAATTTGAGAAGTCGCTCATTAACTAGAATTTATACAATAAAGAAGTTATTCAGTAAAAGGTACTACTCAATTAAGTATAGAAAGAGTACAATTTCTGCTTTTATATTTCCAATGTCCATTTTTGTTTCATGTATATCTTGTTCTTTTATAATTACACAGTTAAAAAAAGTCATTTTAGCAAAAAAGTCATGTAAACCAATCACTCAGAAATAAATTTTATTTTCCAACCATTTCCTATATTTATTTGTTGTCTATAAATGGAAACCTGGGTGTATATGATTTGATATTTTTTCTCATGTTATAAGACATTAATTTCTTTCAATGTCAACAAATACAAATACAATAAATAAGGAGAAAATATGATCATATTCATTTTATAGAAAATAAAATTGTGAGCTGGGTGCAGTGGCTCACGCCTGTAATCCCAGCACTTTGGGAGGCTGAGGTGGGTGGATCACGAGGTCAGGAGTTTGAGACCAGCCTGGCCAACATGTTGAAACCCCATCTCTACTAAAAATACAAAAATTAGCTGGGCTTGGTGGCAGGCTCCTGTAATCCCAGCTATTCAGGAGGCTGAGGCAGGAGAATCGCTTGAATCCGGGAGGTGGAGGTTGCAGTGAGCCAAGATCATGCCACTGCACTCCAGTCTGGGTGACATAGAGAGACTCCATCTCAAAAAAAAAAAAAAAGAAAAGAAAAGAAAATTGTGGCTGGTTCTAGCTAGCAAGTAAGAGAGCTGAGATTCCTAAACTTTCATGGTATCTCTCCATGCAGTCATTACTAGGAGTGAAAGTGGCAATCAAATGTTACGTAACATGTGTTTTGACTTTTACTATCAAAATGACAGAAATAAATACCATTATAATTTCCTCAATAATGTACGTATAATATATATGTATTTATATGTAATTATACATGTAACTATATATGTAATTATACATGAAGTTATATATGTATGCCATTACTCATCATTATTTTCATTTTTGCTAAACATTCATTTACATTTTTAATTTATATTTTTGATTACTTTTGGAATGTCTCCATATTATTATGAATAATTTATTTTTATTTATGGTTTTCTCCATTACCTATATAAAAGAAATATTTTTAAGTTCAAGCAATATAACAATTTCTTTTTGTTATATGGATGTTTTAATTTTTTTTTTTTTTTTTTTGAGACCGAGTCTCGCTCTGTCGCCCAGGCTGGAGTGCAATGGCGCGATCTCGGCTCACTGCAAGCTCCGCCTCCCGGGTTCACGCCATTCTCCTGCCTCAGCCTCCCGAGTAGCTGGGACCACAGGCGCCCGCCACGATGCCCGGCTTTTTTTTTTGTATTTTTAGTAGCGATGGGGTTTCATCGTGTTAGCCAGGATGGTCCCGATCTCCTGACCTCGTGATCCTCCCGTTTTCCCTCCCAAAGTGCTGGGATTACAGGCGTGAGCCACCGCGCCCGGCCTAAACTTTTTATTTAAATTTTGAACATGTATTTGAATTATATGTATCAAAACACTGCCACTCTGACTTTTTGCTTAGTGGAGTGTAATCTACACTTCTAATGTCTTGTGTCTTTGAGTTCATTCTTTAAAATCCTTTTTCACCTCAATTATATTTTCTTTTAGTATGTTTATGGCTTGTCTCTTTACATTTCAATATTTGGTTCATTCAGTATTTATTTGACCAATAATACAAGGGAAATCAAACAATTAAATTATTTAGTCTAATGTCCTAATTTCATTAAAGTAATAATCTAATCTAGCATATTGCTTTGAGATGCTGCTTTATTATATATGAGAATTACACATTTTGAAAAATCTGTTTTCACATTTTCTCTTTCTGAAGCTTATTTGACATCTATTTATTTTACTTTTTTTTTTTTTTTTTTTTTTGAGACAGAGTTTCACTCTGTCGCCCAGGCAGACAGAGTGCAGTGGTGCGATCTCGGCTCACTGCAAGCTCCGCTTCCCGGGTTCACGCCATTCTCCTGCCTCAGCCTCCCGAGTAGCTGGGACTACAGGCGCCTGCCACGGCGCCCGGCTAATTTTTTGTATTTTTAGTAGAGGCGGGGTTTCACCGTGTTAGCCAGGATGGTCTCGATCTCCTGACCTCTTGATCCACCCGCCTCGGCCTCCCAAAGTGCTGGGATTACAGGCATGAGCCACCGTGCCCGGCCTTATTTTACTTTTTATTGATGTGACTTACTACCCGGGAGGGATATTTTCCATTTATAATTTTTTCAAAAATTTTCTTATTCTATTTGTTTAAGTAGGTAGATATCAGAATCATTTTATGAGGAAAAGGAACTCCTTGCTAGTTTGACCAAGATTTCGCCAAATCTCAGAAGAGTTAGTTTTTCAATATTACTCAGCAAAACTTTGTAATTATCTCTAAAACAATTCTTGTTTTAGTATTCCTATATATTTTATACTTTTGTTGGGATATTTTTCATTTTACTTTTTTACCCAGTTGATAAGAGTTAATATACTAATATCTGATCATGTGTTCAATTTTTATTGCTGGAATTTTTGATATTTCTCTACTGAAATCATTTTAAAAATTATTTAATATTTGGAATAAATAGCATGTGTAGGACAGAATGGCATCAATATAAATAGAGATGTATATTTAGGCTTGTCAATTATATATATTTTTATACATATACATATCAGAATCTTATTAATTATTCAAGTTCTGTAATATATACAAGACAGATGGGTTGTTGTTTTTTATTTTTATTTTTAATTTTTTTATTTCAATAGCTTTTGGGGTATAAGTGGTGTTTGGTTACATGGGTGAATTACATAGTGGTGAATTCTGAGGCTTTAGTGCCCTGCTCACCCAAGTAGTATACACTGTACTCAATATGTAAGTTTTTTTCCCCACACTCCTCTTCCACCCTCTCCCTACCGAGTCTCCAAAGTCCAAAATACCACTCTGTATGCCTTTGTATGCTCCTAGCTTAGCTCCCACTGTAAGTGAAAACACACAGTATTCGGTGTTCCATTCCTGAGTTACTCCACTTAGAATCATGTCGTCTAATTTATCCATCCAAGTTGCTGCAATATTCCATTCCTTTCTATGGCTGAGGAGCATGCCATGGTGTATCTATACCACATTTTCCTTATTCACTCATTGGTCCGTGGGGACTTAGGCTGGCTCCACATCTTTGCGATTGCAAATTGTGCTGCAATAAACATATACATGCTGATGTCCTTTTCATATAATGACTTTTTTTTTTTTCCTTTGGGAAGATACCCAGTAGTGAGATTGCTGGATCAAATGGTTGATCTACTTTTAGTTCTTTAAGGAATCTCCATGCTTTTTTCTATAGATATTGTGCTAATTCACATTCCAACCAGTAGTGTATATGCGTTCCCCTTTCACCACACCTACATCAACATCTACTGTTTTTTGACTTTTTAATAATGACCATTCTTGCTGGAGTAAGATGGTATATGATTGTGGTTTTCATTTGCGTTTCCCTGATGATTAGTGATGTTGAGTATTTTTTCATCTTTTTTGGCCACTTGTATATCTTCTTTTGAGAAAGGTCTACTTATGTCATTTGCCCACTTTTTGATGGGGTTATTTGTTTTCTTTCTTACAGGCTTGTCTGAGTTCCTTGCAAATTCTGGATACTAGTCCTTTTACGGATTCATAATTCACGAATATTTTCTCCAACTCTGTGGGTTGTCTTTTTACTGTGATAATTTCTTTTGCTGTGCTTTTTAGTTTAATTAGGTAGGTCCCATTTATTTACTTTTGTTTTTGTCACATTGTTTTTGGGGTTTTGGTTATGAATTCTTTTTCTAGGCCAATCTCTAGAAGAGTTTTTACAAGATTATCTTCTAGAATTGTTATGGTTTCAGGTCTTATACTTAAGTTTTGGATCTATCTTGAGTTTATTTGAATATAACATGAGAGATAGGGATCCAGTTTCATTCTTCTGCATGTGGCTAGCCACTTTTCCCGGCACTATTTATTAAATAAGGCGTCATTTCCCCAATGTATGTTTTTGTATGCTTTGTCAAAGATCAGCTGGTCGTTAAGTATTTGGCTTGATTTCTGGGTTACCTGTTCTCTTCCATTGGTCTATGTGCCTACTTTCATACAAATACCATGTTATTTTCATAACTGTAGCCTTATAGTATAATTCAAATTTGGTTAATGTGATGCCTCCAGATTTGTTCTTGTTGCTTAGGATTGCATATATTATTTGGGCTCTTTTTAAATTCTATATAAATTTTCGGATTGATTTTCTAATTCTATGAAAAATAGTGCTGGTATTTTGATGGGAATTGCATTGAATTTGTAGATTGCTTTGAGAAGCATGGTCATTTTCATAATATTGATTCTTCCTATCCATGAGCAAGAAATGTGTTTCCAGTTGTTTGTGTCATCTATGATTCCTTTCATCAGTGTTTTGTAGTTCTCCTTGTAGAGATTTTCCACCTCCTTGGTTAAGTATATTCCTAGGTATTTTATTCAATTTTTTGCAGCTATAGTAAAAGAGATTGAGTTCTTGATTTGATTCTCACCTTGGTCATTGTTGGTGTACAGCAGGTACAGCAGTGCTATTGATTTGTGTACATTGATTTTGTAACCCGAGCTTTTACTGAATTTGTTTATCAAATATACAAGTCTTTTGTAGGAGTCTTTAAGGTTTTCTAGGTAGACAATCATATCATTGGCAAACAGCAATAGTTTGAATTCCTCTTTTGCAATGTGGATGCCCTTTATTTCTTTCTCTTGCCTCATCATTTTCTCTAGGACTTCTAGAATAGAAATGGTGAAATTGAGCATCCTTGTCTTGTTCCTGTTCTCAAGGTGAATGCTTTGAACTTTTCCCCCATTCAGTATGATGTCAGCTACGGGTTTGTCATATGTGGGTTTTATTATTTTGAGGCAAGTTCCTTCTGTACCTAGTTTTTTTATAGTTTTTATCATAAAGGATGCTAAATTGTATTGAATGCTTTTTCTGCATCTATTGAGATGATCATATGGTTTTTGTTTTTAATTCTGTTTACGTGATGTATCACACTTATTGACTTGCACATATGAAACCACCCCTGCATCCCTGGGATGAAACCCAATTGATCATGGTGTATTATCTTTTTGATGTGCTGTTGGATTTGGTTTGCTAATATTTTGTTTATGATTTTTGCATATTTGTTCATCAGGGATATTGGTTTTTAGTTACTTTTTTGTTATGTCCTTTCCTGATTTTGATATCAGGATGACACTGGCTTCATAGAATAATTTAGGGAGGATTCCCTCTGTCTCTATCTTTTAGAATAACGCCAACATGATTGGTACAAATTCTTCTTTGAATGTCTGATTGAATCCAGTTATAAATCTATCTGGCCCTGGGCTTTTTTTTTTTTGGTGGTGGCTGGGGGTAATTTTTTAATTGCTGATACAGTCTTGCTACTTGTTATTGATCTGTTCAGGGTTTTTATTTCTTCGTGATTTATGTTTTCAGGAATGTATCCATTTTCCCTAGGTTTTCTAGTTTGTGTGCATAGAGGTGTTCATAGCAGTCACAAATAATCTTTTTGTGTCTGTGGTATCAGTTGTAATAAAAAGAGATGTTTTAATACTTCCTACTTTTAATGTGCTTTTTAGCAATTTTGCTTGTTTTTAGAAAAAAAATCTTAATTTAGCAAATTATCATGGAATGAATAAATTAAAGGCAGAAATAGTAAAATATTATCTGATTTTATAATAGCCAACACTTACAAGTGATACATTAGGTTTATTTGATTTTGTTTATTGCATTTTGTTTTCTTCTTTTGCTTCTATTTCTTTGTAATTTCTCTGTGATAACTATAATTCTTAGCTTTCACCTTCTCTTTCTAGTGTGTGTTCAGAGAGTGGTTTTTTTCCTGTTAATGATTACGTTTCAGATTTTCAGGAGCATTTATTGATCTGAATCATGTTACATTATAAAGTCAAATGTGAAACGCGTTGCGTGTCCCAGCTAATTAGCTAAGCTTTCATCCCACCTGTTATTTCTTTGTGAAATGTTTTAGCATAGTGCTATTATTCCATATAATTTTACTTTATATAAAACATCTGTAGAGAAAAAAAAATTTGCCTTCTCTTTACAGTAACATTTATTTTACTTTGTCTCTATTTTGAATGGCTTAAGCACACATATACTACCTTTTTGTACCTTGACTTTCTTATACTTTCCTATACTTGCTTCATCTGTTTCCGTTGTATGTGTGTGAATGTGTGTATAGAGTTAAAAAAAGTTATACGTTACACAAACTTTGTAAAGCTTTTACACATGATAAAAAGGCATAATTGCAACATGAGTTTTAAGCTTTTTTTTCAACTTCATTAATGTGGCTTCACTGATTTTAAGTAATTGTTTCCGAGAAAACTGTAAACATGATTTTTTATAGATTTACTCAATGTGTTACATTTCATTTGCTCACCATTCTTCATTCCACACTTTCCTTCTTTTATAACATTTCTTCATTTTTAATGCAATCTTTAAAATTTCCCTTAGGATCTTTTAGCACCTAACTCTCAGAAAAGTCGTCATTTCTGAAAGATAGCATCCTTGGACATAGGATTGTAGCTTGATGGCAATTTCCTCTCATAATTCAAAGATATCACTCCACTGTCTTCTGGCTGCCATTGTTACAAGGAGGCAAAAAATTATTACATTAATTGCCTTTCCTTTGTAGGCAGTCTAGCCCTTATTTTTGGGTGCTTTTAAAATACTCTTTTTGATTTTATTTTATACTCTGATTTTCTTTCATATATTTCTGGGTATAGATTCATACTTGTTATTCCTGTTTGGAATTATTGATCTTCCTGAATCTGAGAACCTGTGTCTTTCATCGATACTGGAATATTGAGTATTAATTCATATATTTGATTAATAGATTTTGAAAATTGCATTTCTTCAATTATTTCTATCCTCTTTGGTATATATCAAAGTATTTCTTGTTCTCTTCTTTATTTTCATGTGCCTGTCTGTTGCACTTCCCATCTCCTGTCTTTGTGACTTTCATTTTGGGTTTTCCTTTTTCGGATATGATACTCAATTTACACTCCCCGCAAATGTTTCTTATCATCTGCTCACTCCACCCATTGATTAATTTTTTTTAAAATATTTTTTATTTCTAAAGGTCTTGGGGGCACAGGTGGTATTTGGTTACATGAATAAGTTCTTTAGTGGTAATTTGTGAGATTTTGGTGCACCCATCATCTGAGTAGTGTACACTGAGCCCAATCTGTAGTCTTTTATCCCTCACCCTCCTCCCTACCTTTCCTCCGAGTTCCCAAAGTCTATTGTATCATTCTTATGCATTTGCATCCTTTTAGCTTAGCTCCCACTTACGAGTGAGAACATACAATGTTTGGTTTTTCCATTCCTGAGTTTCTTCACTTAGAATAACAGTCTGCAGTTCCATCCAGGTTGCTGCAAATGCCATTAATTTGTTGCTTTTTATGGCTGAGTAGTATTCTATTGTGTGTGTGTGTGTGTCTGTGGTATGTGTGTGTATATATATATATGATATTCTATCATATATATCTACATATAGTGTATATAAATTTATATATTGTATAAATGTAAATATATATAGTATATTTTATATACACTACATATACAGTATATATAGTGTATATATAGATATATATATATGTATGTGTGTGTGTATATATATATATATATAAAATCACAATTTCTTTATCCACTCATTGATTGATGGGCACTTGGATTGGTTTCATATTTTAGCAATTGTGAATTGTGCAGCTATAAACATGCACGTGTAAGTATCTTTTTCATATAATGACTTCTTTTCCTCTGGGTAGTTACCCAGTAGAGGGATTGCTGGAACAAATGGTAGTTCTATTTATAGTTCTTTAAGGAATCTCCACACTGTTTTCCATAGTTGTTGTACTAGTTTGCATTCCTACCAGCGGTGTAGAAGTGTTCCCTTTTCACCACATCCATGCCAACATCTATTATTTTTTGATTTTTTGATTATGGCCATTCTTTCAGGAGTAAGATGGTATCACACTGTGGTTTTGATTTGCATTTCCCTGATCATTAGTGATGTTGAGCATTCTTTCATATGTTTGTTGGCCATTTGTATATCTTCTTTTGAGAATTATTTATTCATGTCCTTAGCCCACTTTTTGATGGGATTGCTTTTTTTCTTGCTAGTTTGTTTGAGTTCATTGTACACTCTGGATATTATTCCTTTGTCAGATGTATAGATTGTGAATATCTTCTCCCGCTCTGTGGGTTGTCTGTTTACTCTGCTGACTGTTGCTTTTTTTGTGCAGATCCTCCAAAAAGCTCCTAGAACTGATAAATGAATTCAGCAAAGTTTCAGGATACAAAATTAAGGTACACAATCAGTAGCTCTGTTACACACCAACAGCAACCAAGCCGAGAATCAAATAAAGAACTCAACCACTTTTGCAATAACTGCAAAAAAATGAAACACTTAGGAATATACCTAACCAAGCAGGTGAAAGACCTCATAAGGAATACTACAAAACACTGCTGAAAGAAATCACAGACAAATGGAAATACATCCCATGCTCATGGATGGGTAGAATTAATATTGTGAAAATGACTATACTGCCAAAAGCAATATGCAAATTCAATGCAATTCCCAGCAAAATGCCACTATCATTCTTCACAGACTAAAATTCATATGGAACCAAAAAAGAGCCCACATAGCCAAAGCAAGACTAAGCAAAAGGAATAAATCTGTAGGCATCACATTACCTGACTTCAAACTATACTATAAGGCCATAATCACCAAAGCAGCATGGTACGGGCATAAAAATAAGCATGTAGAGCAGTGAAACAGCATAGAGAATCCAGAAATAAACCCAAATACAGCCAACTGATCTTAGACAAAGCAAACTGATCTTAGACAAAGTGTTCCCCACTTTATGTTTTTATGGGGAACACCCTATCCAACAAATGGTGCTGGGATAATTGGCCAGCCACATATAGGAGAATGAAACTGGTTCCTCATCTCTCACCTTATACAAAATTCAACTCAAGATGGATCGAAGACCTTAAACTAAAAAATTTCTAGAAGATAACATCAGAAAAACCCTTCTAGACATTGGATTAGACAAAGACTTCATGACCCAGAATCCAAAAGCAAATGCAACAAAACAAAGATAAATAGATGGAACTTAATTAAACCATTGATTGTTTTTTAAATCAATTTTTACATTCTTATTTTCTTGAAATTATTTTTGGTTTTAATCAAATATGCTTGGTCATTTTGATAAATTTTAATTTTTATCACAATTTTGATTTTCTATTTTTAGAGTTTGACAATAAATCAGTATTATATTGATTATATTTCACTCTCATATCTGCAGTTGTACATTTTGTTGGTTTTGTTGATGCTCATTCCTTTTCTATTTTCTCCCATAAATTTTAAGATTTTCGATTGTGAGTTTATGTTTTTCATCATATTTAGTTTAGAAAAATTTTTAAGACCAGATTCAAAATGCCTACACCGAAGAGGATATTTGCTAATTTCCTGGAAATATTTACAACCTAGGAATAATTTAAAAATACATATTTTGCTTGGTGTTTTTCTGGACCCCTAAGTAATATGAATTGCCCTGAATCCAAGTCAGCATTGAATTTTGTTTAGAGGTTTTCAAATGAGTGTTTTCTCCTTTCCATCCCGTACCAAAGAGAATTATAAATCCTACTCTCTCTGTTTATATAATACTTTTCTCTCTCTGTCTGTCTCTCTTCTTTTTTTTCTATGTAGTTAGCCCACTGAACATGTGGACTTTCAGCAAATTCAGCTTTATTGAATGGGTCTACCATATGACCTCTAGTCTTCTACTGCTTTACTCATTAATATCTAGATTCAGTATCAACAGGAATGAGCAGATAATCCATAGGCAAGCAATAGCTCCAAAACTTTTTTGACCCTATGGGTGTAAAGATTTTCACTTCTGAAGAATTTTCTTTCTTCTCTATCAGCTCAGACATGTATGTCGAAAGCTGTATTTTTATGTTGTCCAGCATTTCTAGATGTGCCCACCACATCTAGAAACTGAGGAGTTTCTCAGATAATTTACTGTGTAGCATTTTAAAAAGAGAAGTCCAATTTAGTTTTCTTAAATTTTTCATTTATTTTAAAAAATATTTGTCATCAATTATTGATTTCAAAATTTCCCAGGGTATTTCAAGATAAGAGTGCTATGGTTTGAATGTTTGTGCCCTTCAAATGCATATTGAAACTTAATCCCTCATATGGAGATTTTGGGAGACGGGGCTTTTCAGAGTTAATTTTGTGTTCACTTCTACTCTCCTTCAGAAGGCTTTTGATTTGTTTGCTTCTGCTCGGTTCTCTGTATAAGAGACCACAGTCAAATATTTTTGTCTGAACATAGTTTTTAAGCCTCAAGGCTGATCTTATTCACACTGGCTCCTGAGGCTTTTTCATCCCAATTTTTTCTCTCAAAAAAGCTATGTCATACACTTCCAAAGCAATAGTCTTTGGTGGAAAGACAATAAACCAACTTGGTCTGTGCCTCTAGGAAACTCCCATAATGAGAAGAGAACACTTAATCACGATCATGTGAGGTGCCTACTGCTAAGGCTGCAAGTACAGAGCTACCCCTGGGAAGAAGGAAGGAGCAAAGAAGAATATTCTCTGCAACTCTTTTCCCTTAAGGTTTCAAGGATTGCAAATATCACTTCCACCCCGTTACTTTAGATAGAAACAGTCATATGGCTAACCTTGCTTTTAACAGCACCAGTAAAATGTCATCTTTATTTCTGGCAGCCATATCCCAAAAGAAAAACTTGGGGTTCAAAGGATTTTAAATCACTCTACTATAAAGACACATGCACAGGTACATTTATTGCAGCACTGTTCACAATAGCAAAGACTTGGAAACAACCCAAATGCCCATCAGTGATAGACTGGATAAAGAAAACATGGCACATATACACCATGGAATATTATGCAGCCATAAAAAAGATGAGTTTATGTCCTTTGCAGAGACATGGATGAAGTTGGAAACCATCATTCTCAGAAAACTAACACAGGAACAGAAAACCAAAAACTGCATGTTCTCACTCATAAGAGGAGTTGAACAATAAGAATACATGGACACAGGGAGGGGAACATCACACACCAGGGCCTTTCGGTGGGTGGGGGACAAAGGGAGGGAGAGCATTAGGACAAATACCTAATGCATGAGGGGTTTAAAACCTAGATGACGGGTTGATGGGTGTAGTAAACCACTATGGCACATGTATACCTATGTAACAAACCTGCAAGCTCTGCACATGTACCCCAGAACTTAAAGTAAAATAAAATAAAATAAATAAATAAATAAATATTAATAAGCCAAAAAAAGAGAAAAGCTTGGGGTTATATTGCCACAGAAGTTAGGAGGGAAAATATTCAACTAGCAGTGTCTGCCACAGGATGACTTCTTCTTAGTTCAATGAAGAGCCTGGGCCATAGAGCCATGCCTATTCATATTTTAGATCTGCCACCTTTAGTGATGACTAGTGGGTTTGTTTCCAATGAGGGTAATACAGTAGGGTATATCCCAGGATTGTCATGCAGATAAAATACAATAAAATAGTTTTTAGCAGAGTGCTGGGCACTATGTACAGAGCTCTATAAATATTAGTCATGATTATTCTAAATAATGATGCTCATAATGCTGATGATAATGATTGTGTGGTCTGTCCCATATCTTTTAGATTTTTTCTAAAATTTACAATCAATTTTCTTTGTACATATGTTCAGTAACTACTGTGTGTCAGGCACTGTTCTAGACACTGAGTTGAAACAGTGAAGAAAACAAACCAAGGTCTTGCTCTAAAGGAGCTTCTGACTGTCTTTAATTCCACTCATTTCCCACTGTGTAACCCTCAACCCCCTGGATGGATATAGCAAATGAAATGCTATAATCTTCCAGCATGCATTGCCATCTGAGTTTAATCTGAAGGCGCATGCCTGCCTTTTTTCAAGAGAGTATGCCTCCCAGAATGAATTATCAGTTCACTCGAGACTCTGCACATTTATTGTTTGAGCTTGTTTATTCATTGCCTAGACAGAAAAAGACATCCACAGATGAGGAGCACAGGTTGGTGCTCACTGTGTGTATGAAAGCCTGATAAAATATGGTGAAGGTGGTACTCAACATCCTCCTACGGTTTTAGGTAGACTGCTTCATGAAGCAGCCCCAACGTACACTATGTGCTAAAGCCTTGGAAGATTGTTCTGAATCCAGATACTGCCTATAATTAATGTCAAATCTTCCAAGATTCTAGCAGTAGGTGTTCTGCCAGTCTCCTTTCTTTACTTTTGAATTTTTGTCATTTTCCTTCATATCTTCAGCAGAATTTTAATTAGAATATTATGGAGAATGCATGTGGCACCACTAAGCACACACCATTTGAATCAGATATGCTTCACTTTCAGACACAACTTAAAAATGTAGTAAGTTTGACTGTTCATTTTACTTGATGTTCTTCCTATGATAATTTTAGAACTACTTATTTTTTAAATATTAGGAAAAATTTTAACTAGGCATATATACCTAACTTGCTTAACATCTTGTTAGCTTTAATAAATACTTAAAATATTCTTTCCAAATATGACTTTGTGTTATGGTGCCTTAAAATATCCACCGTATCATATTTATATTATTAAATGTATCACTCTATTACAGAAAGTAGGCCTAACCTCCAGAATATATATTTCTTGAGTCTATCTATTGACTACAATAAAATGTTTAAAATCTGAATGCTTATTGATGGTATGGTTTTCTGTCATGAACAATGTATGCAATATTTAATTGAGGCCTGCAGCCCAAAGTCTCATTACACAGTAAATGAGAAGCATGATGAATTAGAGCAATAAAACAAATTTACTCTCTATATATCTGGGGATAATTTTGCACACTGAACAGAATATTAAAACAAAACAACTTGTTTTAAATTCAGATTTCTAATTTCAAAAAGATCTTTAATAATCTCCAAGATTGTAAAAAAGTTCTTATGGGTGGATCAGCTGTCTAATCAGCTATTTTTATGTCTTTGACTTATATATAGGGAAGATCACTTCTAACCTGAGAAAGAAAACCAAAAATCAAAATGTTTAGGGGATGTGTATATGTGTGTGTGTAGAAAGAGTGGATACAGGGAAATTTGAAACACGGAAATCAATGACTGAAGTTGAAAGAGCATGAATTGATCCTATTGAGAGGTTGAAGGATTCGTATTTAATAATAAGTGATTTTTCTTCTTATCAAACAAACTAGAATGCAGAACTCTCTAAATTGTCTGTTTACATGTCTTTTAGATGCTATGGAAAAAAACAGAAGAGAACATAATCAATAATTCTATTTTGGTAGACTTATATCCATGATGTTTATTAAAGATTGAAAAAGGCATGTCAAGTTAGCAGTGGAATATATGAATCTGGAATTCTTCAGTAAAATCCAGGATGAAAACACAAATTTCTGAGTTATTGGTCTGCACATGGTGTTTACAACCTGTAAAGCAATGGAATGACTACCTTAGAAAATCTGAAGATGTAAAAGGGTGAGTGGACTTTAGGTTAAACTTGATTTGTTGGACACATTTATCTCTGTTTTCTCCTAAAACCTAACTCAGTAAGAGTACTATAGCTAAAACCATTTATCCCTGCAAGAACAAAGCTATCAGAAGATAAAGCAGCAGTGAACAAGTGCAAGTGTGGTCAATATTTCTTAGAATATCTTTTGGAAGATAGAAAACATATGGAGGAGTTCAGAGGGCTGAAAAGCTGCATAGCAAGTGCCTGGAAGGGGAGATCAATAAGCATAATTTACTCCTTTGGAAAAAATCTAGAGGGGCTTAAATATCAGAGGAACTATTTACTCAAAAAGTGTAGGCAAGGCAGGGAGCTGAAAAGGGGGAAGACTGGGAAAATACAGTATAGCAATTAGAACTGGATCTCCTTCCCCTCCTATTCTGGGAAACTTTAACCACAGAACTTTTAAGATCAAGGATAAAGAACAGTTGATTAGTACCATGCCATCTTGCACCGCAGAAGCCAAAAAAAGTAGAAAGTATTTCTTCTAGAGCTGGAGTTTTGGTTTAATTTCCACATGAAAGTCAAATGCTTACTGCTTCTCACATCTCTAATGGCACCCATAGGCAAGGAAGTATAGTACCTGAGACTGTGTTAACAACGTTCTGTCCACTTGCTGGTTTTCTCAGTGGCAAGAGACAAGGAGCAGATTGGACAATTTTGCCATGTTTATCTAGTAGGTGTGGTTGGCTCAAAGTTAACAGCGGCTTCTTTTTTTTTTTTTTTTTTTTTTAATTTTGAGACTGAGTTTCACTCTTGTTGCCCAGGCTGGAGTCCAATGGCGCAATCTCAGCCCACTGCAACTTCCGCCTCCTGGGTTCAAGCGATTCTTCTGCCTCAGCCTCCTGAGTAGCTGGGATTACAGGCATCCGCCAGCACGCCCAGCTAATTTTGTATTTTTAGTAGAGATAGGGTTTCACCATGTTGGTCAGGCTGGTCTCGAACTCTTGATCTCAGGTGATCCGCTTGCCTCTGCCTCCCAAAGTTCTGGGATTACAGGCGTGAGCCACCATGCCCTTGCAACAGTGGCTTCTTAATTGTTGCTAAAGCAATATATTCTTTAAGTTGAATGTTTTTTACTCTGGTTTCTTAATCATGGAATGCAGGTAGAGTTTATTCCTGGAACCAACAGATCCAGTGATAATTTTCTCATTCCTCACTTTCCTCAGTGTGGCAGGCAGACTTTTCACAGGCCAATTCTGGAGTGTTTTATTGGGGTTAAATGCTGAAGATCCTACCTGGAGCTACTTCTCTAACTTTTCCAATGTATTTGTCTAAGGCTACTATCTGCTATATTAAATACATTTTATCTTTTTTGGAAATGTTATTTTAAGTTCTGGGATACATGTGCAGGATGTGCAGGTTGGTTACATAGGTAAATGTGTGCAGTGGTGGTTTGCCGTGCCTATCAGCCTATCACCTAGGTATTAAGCCCAGCATGCATTAGCTATTTTTCCTGATGTTCTCCCTCCCCCACCCTCAACAGGCCCCAGTGTGAGTTGTCCCTTCTCTGTGTGCATGTGTTCTCGTTCAGCTCCCAGTTAAGAGTGAGAACATGCAGTGTTTGGTTTTCTGTTCCTGCATTAGTTTGCTGAGGATAATGGCTTCCAGCTCCATCAATGTCCCTGCAAAGAACAGGATCTTATTCCTTTTTATGGCTGCATAATATTCCATGGTATATATGTGCCACATTTTCTTTATCCAGTCTATCATTGATGGGCATTTGGGTTGATTCCATGTCTTTGCTATTGTGAATAGTGCTGCAATGAACATACACGTGTATGTCTCTTTATAGTAGAATGATTTTATATTCCTTTGGCTATATACCCAGTAATGGTATTGCTGAGTCCAATGGTATTTCTGGTTCTAGGTCTTTGAGGAATCGTCACAATATCTTCCACAATGGTTGAACTAATTTACACTCCTACCAACAGTGTAAACATGTTTCTATCTCTCTGCAGTGTTGCTAGCATCTGTTGAGGTTTTGATAATCACCATTCTGACTGGCATGAGATGGTATCTCACTGTGGTTTTGATTTGCATTTCTCTAATAATCAGTGATGTTGAGTTTTTTTTCATATGTTTCTTGGCCACATAAATGTCGTTTTTTGAGAAGTAGTTGTTCATGTCCTTTGCCCACTTTTTAATGGGGTTGTTTTTTTCCTGTAAATTTGTTTAAGTTCCTTGTAGGGTCTGGATGTTAGACCTTTATCAGATGAATAAGTTGCAAAAATTTTCTCCCATTCTGTAGGTTGTCTGTTTGCTCTGATGATAGTTTCCTTTGCTGTGCAGAAGCTCTTTAGTTTATTTAGATTACATTTGTCAATTTTTGCTTTTGTTGCTATTGCTTTTGATGTTTTTGTCATGAAATCTTTGCCTGTGCCTATGTCCTGAATCATATTGCCCAGATTTTTTTTTCTTTTTTGCATTTTTCTTTCTTTCTTTCTTTTTTTCTTGCTTCCTCAGAAGAAAGAATTCAACCGAGGGGCAGAATGCAGAAGGAGAGACCATGCAGGTTTCAGAGCAGGAGTGAGAGTTTATTAAAAAGCTTTAGATAGTAAGGAAATAAAAGAAAAGAAGGAAAGTATAACTTAGAAAAGGGCCAAGCGGGTGACTTGGGAAACCAAATGTGCCTTGCCTAGATTTTCTTCTAGGGTTTTTTATTCTTTTGGGTATTACATTTAAGTTGGTAATACATCTTAAGTTAATTTTTGTAAAAGCTGTAACGAAGGGGTCCAGTTTCAGTTTTCTACATATGGCTAGTCAGTTCTCCCAGCACCATTTATTCAATAGGGACTCCTTTTCACATTGCTTGTTTCTGTCAGGTTTGTTGAAGATCAGATGATTGTAGATGTGAAGTCTTATTTTTGAGTTGTCTATTCTGTTCCATTGGTCTATGTGTCTGTTTTTGTACCAGTACCTTGTTGTTTTGGTTATTGTAGTCTTCCAGTATAGTTTGAAGTCAGGTAGCATGATGCCTCCAGCTTTGTTCTTTTTGCTTAGGATTGTCTTGGCTAAATCATATGATTATCTCAATAGACACAGAAAAGGCATTTGATAAAATTCAACATCCCTTCATGTTAAAAACTCTCAATAAACTAGGTATTGAAGGAACATACCTCAAAATAATAAGAGCCATTAATGACAAACCGACAGCCAATGTCATACTGAATGGGCAAAGGCTGGAAGCATTCCCCTTGAAAACTGGCACAAGGCAAATATGCCATCTCTCTCCACTCCTATTCAACATAGTATTGGAAGTTCTGGCCATGGCAATCAGGCAAGAGAAAGAAATAAAGCATATTCAAATAGAAAGAGAAGAAGTAAAAGTGTCTGTTTGTAGATGACATGATCCTATATCTAGAAAATTCCATCGTCTCAGCCCAAAAGCTTCTTAAGCTGATAAGCAACTTCAGCAAAGTCTCAGGATACAAAACCAATATGCAAAAATCACAAGAGTTCCTATACACCAACAATAGACAACCAGAGAGCAAATTATGAATGAACACCCATTCACAGTTGCTACAAAGAGAATAAAATACCTAGGAATAGAGATAACAAGGGAAGTGAAGGACCTCTTTGAGGAGAACTACAAACAACTGCTCAAGGAAATCTGAGAGGACACAAACAAATGGAAAAATATTCTATGATCCTGAATAGAAAGAATCATACTGGCCATATTACTGAAAGCAATTTATAGATTCACTGCTATTCCCATCAAACTACCATTTACATTCTTCACAGAATTAGAAAAAACTATTTTGAAATTCATATGGAACGAAAAAATACATTTTATTTTAAAATGGCCGGAGTAATTTCCCTTAAAGACACAGTGGGTAGAAAGAGGCCATAATGGAAAAGGGACATTAGGAAAAATCCACGCACAGAATAGCGAGACTCCCACTCCAGCCCCCTTACTCCATTCTTTCCAAGAATAACGGCAACTGACAAAACCCTCCCTTCCATAGGTACATCCACGTATACAGCGTGTGTGAGAGTACACACACACACACACACACACACATGTTCTCTGACATATTACCTTACAGATAAGCCTACCAGTTGACAAGCCTGTGCATATAGAATATCCAGTGTCCTTAGTGATTTTCTTTAAGCATGCAAGGACAAGCAAAGTTTATCAAATATTTGAGCAAGGCTTTAATGTGTAAGACAGAGAATAATACATTTTAAAAAATACAGGGAAAAAGAAAAAGAGGAAGGAAGTAGAAAAGAAAAGAAAAATGAGACAAAAAAATGAAAAAAGGTACAATGTGTGATTCAGAAGACTTTCCAAACTATGATTAAGAGCTATAGAGAACCCAGAGGGCCCAGATCTCCCTTAGGCACCAATGTTTGGAGTTGGTTGTCGAAAGAGGCAATCATCAAAGAACACTCTGAAGGAGTGGCCACTAACTAAGGAGAGACCTTAAGAACATGTGGAGTTGCAAAAGTTGCAGCCGGAATTGCTATGCATTCACCAAAACACATTTTCTTTTTCTTCTGCACACAATGCTAGATCACATTTGGGACCCTCCCTTGCAGTTAATGGTGACCATGTTATAGACAAACAGTGGAATGTGGCTTGGGAATCGACCCCCTAAAAAAGCCTTCAGGCAATCATTCCTGCTCTCTCTCTCCTCCCTCATACATTGGCCATCAGAAGACTCTAAGCCCTAAGATATACAATAAATCTGGGTTCCCGAATGACAGTATGGAGCAGAGCCTCTTGCTGTCTCTCACAACTCTTAGGACTTTATGCAAACAAGAAATCGATTTCTATTGTATGAAGCCACAGAATTTTGTGGTTGACTTTTTACAGTGCTTTGCTTAACCTGACTGATTCAGAAGCCAAGTGAAGTGATGGATGAGTCTATTTTTTCTATAGGACACTGAGAAAGGTGAAGCAAATCTCCATGGTTAGTGGTACCAAGGGAGGGAAAATGGTATAATATTGATTTCTCCTCCTCCCCCAATGCCATGCTCCTTGTGCATCCTTCTCCTTTATTGGTGGTGCCTTAAGAAAGGGCTCATAGAGAAGCAAACTCCACAGGGTACCTCACTCTCTCTTTTCATATGGTGTGTTTTGACAAGGGAGCACATAGGATAGCAGTGGATCTTCTCTTTGGATAATGGCTCCCAGAAAATTAAAAGATGAAGAGTGAAATAGTTAGCTATTCTCATGGTCAAATCTCAGAATTATTCATACAATTATTCCAGCAATCCCGCAAGGAAAATGTTAATTTCAGGGTAAAGCATCAGCTTATATGGACCAGATAATGTAACAAAGAAAGCAGAACACTACGGAAATTTGGAGCTGTGTCTGTTTGGCCATGTTTGCAAACACACTTCAGAAATGCTGCTCCAACTCCCCAGCCCATAAATTATTGAAGTTAATGTAGGTTAAATCTACGCCATGACACAAAAGTGGGACATTCCAAGTGTTTTCCCTGCTCTATCAGTGTCCTCACAGTCAACTCAGCAACTTTGAGGCAACAAAATGTGGAAAGGACTTAAGGCCCAGACTTTTGGGGTTGAATCTCGTTTGTTTCTCTTTTGGTTGATGTCCAAAATAAATAAATAAACAAATAAGATTTTCATTTAATGTACAATCTTTCTCTCATTATCAGCCCCAATTCCCAATTTTTCTAGTTGTTAGCACATTAGGTTTGTCGAAGTCAACATCACTGTCATTCTAATGAATGATTAGTGCAATGGGACATAGAATATGCTTTATTGGCTGGGCGTGGTGCTTCATGCCTGTAATCCCAGCACTTTGGGAGGCCAAGGCGGGTGGATCATGAGACCAAGAGATTGAGACCATCTTGCCCAACATGGTGAAACCCTGTCTCTACTAAAAATACAAAAATTAGCTGGGCATGGTGTGGAGCGCCTGTAGTCCCAGCTACTCGGGAGGCTGAGGCAGGAGAATTGATTGAACCCAGGAGGCGGAGGTTGCAGTGAGCCGAGATCACGCCACTGCACTCTAGCCTGGTGACAGAGCAAGACTCCGTCTCAAAAACAAAAAAAAAGAAAAAGAAAAACAAAATCAAACAAACAAAAAAACCCTTTATTAGGGCTGTGCGTACACTGCTCCCAATAGGGTTACACATATTCAGGACTTTAGAAAGAAGCACTATTTATAAATTTGCTTCTATTTTGTTTTTCTGCTTTATAACCTGACTCCTTCCTTTAGAATACCAAAAACACGTTGGTGTGGTAATACCTTATCCCTAAGATAGCCCTTATCTGCAGATGTGCATTCATATTTCTTTCAGTACTTAATGATGAAAAGGATATAACATTGCCAAGAGCAGGGAAGGTCACATCGGTCTTGAGGGTCACTGTTTCATGTGTGCCATTTGCTCTGAGTAAAATGGGAGTCATTGCAGGGTTTTGATCAGAGAAGTGACATCATCTGGCTTATGTTTTGAAAGGCCCACACTGGCTACGGTATTAAGAATTGTCCACAGATGTAAGGATGGAAGCAGTGGGACTCATTAGGACATTATCCAAGAGAGTGAAGATGGTAGTTCAGATCAAGGTCATTACAGTGAGATACTGAGAAGTGTTGGGAATCAAGATATATTTTGAACCTGAAACTAACTTATTTTCTGATGGATTGGATATGGAATTTTAAAGAAACACAAGAGTCAAAAATGACTTTCAAGTTTTTCATCTGTACAATAAGTAGGATAAAGTTGTCATTAAATGATGTAAAAATGTAGGTGAAGCAGGTTTGGTGCAAAAAAATTATATGTAGTTCACTGTTGGATCCATTCGTTAAAATGTGTTGCAGATATACGAGTTCAGATGCTGAGTTATATAAATGAGTCTGTACTTCAGGAGCAAAGTCTTAGATAAAGATAGAAATTTTGGAGTTGTTATTTCTTCTTATGCATCTGTCCATCCATTTATCATCTCTCTATTTATTTAGATATAGAGATTCATCTCTCCAACCAAAATCAAATCTATTTAAAATTAATCTCAAGAGCCCATTGAAGTAGGGATACTATTTTGCTAGAAGTTATGTTCTAAGTCAGAGAAGAATTAAACTATAAGCAAGAGCTCTTAAATCCTTTTTATTTGATGAAATGTTGTATTCACTTGGTAGGCACATAAAATTTGTAAACACTCACAGATAAAAATACATACATACTGGCAATAAAATTATAGGAGAGGGAGATGAAGCAGAGAATGGAATGGGCTGGCTTTACTGTTAACTAGAAAGAATCATATGTGCTCTCATTCTGGTCCTAAGTGGTATGATGATCTGCCTAGAACAATAAAAACAAGTCAGTGATGATGATTTTTCACAAGTAGTGTCAGGCAATGAGGAATACAGGAGCATTATTTAGACAACTACAACTTTTGACCAAAGACTTAATATTTTCAATATTCTTCTTGTCAGAATTACGTAAGGCTATGTGTTGGTCACATTTTCAGACGTATTATTGCCAAAATATTTTTTAACATCAAAAGTCTCATCAAAGTGGATCGGGATGAAGAAAAAATGGTAAGTCTAAATGATTTTTCCATGGGAAAAAAATAACCCAGGACTTACTTCTCCTAGCACAGTTTCCCTGGAAATCTAATGGTTTAAGTTAAATATGGCATTTCAGCTCTATCACTAGGCAGTGATGTTTATTACAAAAATGTCCCATATTTGATGAATTGCATTTGGGCTTGGCAGACTGAGAATGAGCTATTAAAAACTACTGGGACACAGCTCTCAGATCTGTGTGCAGTGGATTTTCTAAATTGTTTCTTGCGGGACCTGAAAATTTTGCTCGAGGGAGGTTGCAGGATACTGGTTCCTGTGGCGAATGAAAGTGGATGTTCTCATTCGAATCCAGGATGGTCTCTGCATCAACACACGTGGCTTTATCCCTTATAAATGGGAAGATACTTAGGTAGCCTGAATAATTTTCTTATGTACTCTATGCATTCCCCGTGAAGACAATTCTCCTGAAGCTGTCAGATATATTGAAATCCCTGATCTATATTTTTGCAGAAAACTAAAGTGAACATAGTGCCAGATTATGGCCCATGAGCTGTATGAATGAGTATGCCAATCCAAACCTAAAACTACCTCCAATGTCATGTGGAAAGGGTGTTACATTTGTACTTATCTATGCTGTTAACATTTGCAACAGTAGATGACGTAGGTGGTTTAAAAACTTGACCAATATGTCCAGTAAAAATTTAGCCATATTTTCACATCAGGGCAATGACATTTGTAATTTAACTTACATCTCCAAATGCTTATTTCCACTAAGAACACCCAACTTATTTGAGACCAAATAAATAACATAAGAAGTGCTCCATTTGTTAAAAAATAAATAAATAAATAAGTAAATAAATAAATAAAGACAAACAAGAGCTTGCAGTGAGCCAAGATCACGCCACTGTATCCAGCCTGGGCGACAGAGCAAGACTCCATCTCAAAAAAAAAAAAAAAAAAAAAAGACAAACAAAAAAACTAGTATTTTCAGGACATTTTTTACTATATATGTTTTTATTTAATACATAATTACATTTTAAAACCTCTGTTGGAATGCCAGTATTTTTTAATTCATAAAGTTTTATCAAAGATAATTTCCTTATTCATCACAATTTTCATTACATCATATTTTTTTAATAAATTTTTCATTGGATACTTTCAAAATATTTATATATTGCCTTTTAAGCATATAAAAGATTTTCTTAGCTTATGTAATTTTTTTATTGACTTCTGCATGTATTGAACCAAGAACTAGGCCCTTTGAGGTTAATAACTTCTAGCAGAACCAGCTGATTTTTGCCATATAAAAATGCAGGCCCTGGTTTATAATCGAGGGCAGAAATCTTGGTTATGATGTAAGAACCGCAAGTTCTGAAAACATTGGCAATGACGATGGAATCCACTGAATGTTCCCGTGTCCTTTTCTCCTCTTCGGATAGTGCTGGTGCTCCCTCTTTTCCACATAGGTAAGCTTGGCTCATGGCCATCCAGGTCCCAGGTCCTCTAAGAATAGATGTTTCACCTGGCTAAGAACCAGCCAAGGGAAAGTGAGAGGAAGTGACTCATTTCAAACTTGACATTAAAACATGAACAGAACTGTTGTTCTCTCTCCAGTGACTCTTCTCTGTGTTAACTCACAGGGCAGCATCCCAACTTCCAGGATACCAGTTAGGGGAAGGCAGAGCTAAAAGATGGAAGGAAGTTATATCCCTGAAAGCAAGGCCTCCTGCCAGTTTGTCCCACTGATATTGAACTGATAATGGGAAAGAAGTATTTCAATCTAATTTAAGCCAGTGTATTTTGAAGACTTCAGGTTACTTCAGCATAAAGGTCACATAAACTAATACCACACTCATTCATAATATATTTTTTAAAGTTTATGAAGGAAAGCAACAGCTCTTGGATTAAAAATTAAGGCCACGGGTCAACATCTGCAATCTAACTCTTGACTTCCGTGCCAGCTTTGTCTTCCTGCTGAAGTCATTCCAAACTACTTGTGCCTCTCTGAAGATATACCTGTCTGCAGTTTTGTTTTGTTTTGTTTTGTTTTTGAGATGGAGTTTCACTCTTGTCACCCAGGCTGGAGTGCAATGGCATGATCTCAGCTCACTGCAACCTCTGCCTCCTGGGTTCAAGCAATTCTCCTGCCTCAGCTTCCCAAGTAGCTGGGATTACATGCACATGCCATCACGCCCGGCTAATTTTTTTTGCATTTTTAGTAGAGATGGGTTTTCTCCATGTTAGCCAGGCTGGTCTCAAGCTCCTGACCTCAGGCAATCCACCTGCCTCGGCCTCCCAACATGCTGGGATTACAGGCGTAAGCCACCACACTTGGCCATGTCTGCAGTTTTTAAAATGCTATTCTCTTTGCCTGGCATGTCCTATTATTACTCTGTCTGTTGAAGTTTTATTGATCATTTCTAACCCACCACCAACATTTACCTTCTTGTTGACCTTTCCTTGAAAATGATACAATGATTAAAACAATGAACAATAAATTGATAAATTTTAAAACTATCTCAACATTATTAATTCAATGAACATTTATTTGTCATACAATGTCATACTGTGGACAGTGAGAGCAGTGCCACAGGGACTGATGCTGTGTTATACTGTACTGATGTCTCTCAGGATGCCCCTTTCTATCACTTCTTCCTTAGGTGTTACTGATCACTCTCTCCTTGGTGCTTCCATATATTATGCTTATCCATATACTATGGAATCCTTTAGGATGATAATATTTGCTTGTTTGCATGCCATTCCATCCTTATTCTAAGATCCTTGAGGATAGATGCTAAGTCTTAATTATCTTTGTTCCTATCATGGATCTACTTGCCAAGAAACAGACAATGAAACCGATTTACGTGAGGAAGATCTGCTGGGGAGCCCTCTCTGCAACAAATTCTTTAAGTGAATGAGGGAAGTAGGATTGGGCAGAGGGAGAAGCTGCACCATGCTGCAGTTACAACAGAGAGCTCCGTTGATCCCTTGAAGAGCTCCAGAGCTAGCATGACCCATCAGAGTTGACTAAATTCACAAACTTTATCCCACCCTCCTCTGTTAAACAAACACTGCATTGGAGCTGCCTTTAGAGAAGAAGTGGCATAGCTGTGAGTGAGGCAGCTTCCTTCTGCTGTGGGCAATTCCCTGGAAATGGGCCCATCTGAGAGCTGCTAATAGCCAATGTTCCCTGCACTGGGGAAATGAGTGTGTGGTCATGAGGGGCATCTGGGCTGCTGAACCCATCATCCTCTGCGGCGTCATCCTCACTATCCAGGGTATGGCACTGCATGCTAAGTCAGTGTTTAATGAATTGATAATGTTGGGATAGTCTTTAAATGTATTGCTTTATGTTTGTGAAATGATTGGTATGGTCTTGTTTAGCATAGTTTCTCAATCATTTGGCATATGGATTATAAGTATCCATTTATGGATTCCCTTCGGCCATCAGGGCAGCTGGCCAGCGTGTGTGGAATCGGAGCAGTGATTCCACAACGTCTGGCCACGAGCAGCCGCCTCCATCTATTACATTCAGCGGATGCTAGAACATTTCGTTTTCTTTGTATAGCTTTCCATGGAAAAGATTTGGAAGTGCAGGGGCACTGGATACAAAACTAGAGAAAATTTGACTGCCGAGGACTCTTCAGGGCATGTATGTTTCTTTAATTTTACTCACAGAAAGCAAAGGAGGATATACACTTTACTTTTACTACTGGAAAATGACAACTTTGACATAAAAGAAAAATAAAATTGAGGTGATTCTTTTTAAAGTTCAAATCGTAGTAAGCGACCATGTCTATAATTCCTGAGGCTGTAATTCTTCCCCAACAATTAAAATGCAGGGCGCATCCAGCATCCTTTGTCCACAGAGTTCCATTTGGCTTAGGTGTTTGCATGGCTGCAAGTCTGCAGGCTGATGTGAAGAACCATTTGTTATTCTTTCTCTGGAGCACAGTGGGAGGATACATATGACTTGACCAAATTTATATTCATAATCCATAGATAAATTCAGGGAAAGACTTAACAATGACTTACTATGTTTTCAAATGATTTCTTAAATCTATTCATTTAAAGTGTATTAAAATAATTAAGTTACAGTTTAGAGAACATCTTTCATTTAAGAAAACTCACAGAGAGGATACAAAAGAATTCTGTATCTGCCTTCAATAATGAATAGCTCAATAATTGACTGTGTAATTAAATTATCACCTCTTGACCTGTCTATCATATCCACCTTCTCAATTTCTCCATGTTTTAGGAAGGTATTTTTACAAATAATTAAAATGTATTCTTTAAAGCCTAATATTAAAACAGAATAGAGGTAGACTAAATTATTGTGCTTTCACCAGATTATTTTTGGACTTCTTACTTTTAAAAGGAGGGGAGTAAGAGTCATTCAATTTTTCCTGTAACTGAATCAGCATAAATAAGAAGATTCACTCTAAAACAACATGGTTAGACTTGATGACTTCTTAGTTTCCTTCAGCATCTATCTTCCTATGAAAACGTGGATATACTCCTTGGACCCCAGCAAAACCAGAATCTATAACGAAGATACCTGCATAATCTAGGAAGCCTGGGAAGTTTCTCTCTCTGGGACAGGAGATGAAAAGAACCCTACCTCCAGCTCAAGATGGAATTGGAAGCTTTTCTGTAACTTGAATTCAGGGGTGTTAGGGCCATCCCGACCAGACCATTCCCTTCCCCTCCCACAGGCTTTACAACACAGTCTCTTGTACTCTCCACACAGCTACCCCAGGGCAAAAGACAACCCCCTCACTTCACTGACTCCTCCAGTAACTATTTGTCCAGACAGTTACAGGATGTGGTTAACATGTCTCTTCACCTCACATATCTGTTCACCTCATATGACAAACCTGGCAAAAAACATCTCCAAGATGTGATCAAGACACCTGCACTCCTCACTCAGCTCCCCCACCCTGGGTGTGAGTCAGTCACACCCAGCTTAGCTCGCCAACCCTGACCCAGTTCCTTGCCCTATACAGCCCTGCTGTAGTCTGTAAGTGGGGCTGCCTCCTCTGCTTTTGTCAGGAGGTAGCCCGACAGGACTGACAATAAATCAGCTTGCCTGAACTTGGGTCTATTGGCCTCATTCCTTTCTCGGCCATCCTTCCAGTTATCCCTTATAAGGGGATAGAAAAAAAGACGTTACCTCTAGCAGGTTAAAATGTTGGAGCCAAATTTGTTGAATTCCCTGTGTTGAGATATTTCAAAGCCAATGAACTAATATAAATGATGGAAAAAAGAGTCAATTTTTAGTGAAATCCATTGAGCACCCACTTGAGCAAACTTGACATTACTCCCTAGGAACAATTAACATAATGTATGGGATGACCACAGAGTAAGGCGAGGCAGTTAAAACTGAGCTAACAGCCAAAGAATAAAATAATTCAAAGTTAAACAATTCACCATGAGGAAGGGACACATGAGAAGATTAGTACCCAGAAAAATCAAAGTAGAGGAACAATTTTAAAGTGATGAAAGAATTATTTAAAACTGTTAAAGCTACACACGAAGAAGAGAAGTTATAGTAATTGAAACCTAGAAATTAAAAGCTCAAAAAACTGAGTGAAATAGCTAATTAGACAAAGTTGAATAGATAATTAGTAAAATGTAAGAGAGAAGTGAGGACAATACTCAAGGTTAAGAATAAAATGATATAAAGTATAAGAGATCATGTTACATGAAAATATTTAGGAAACAGCTTAGTGTTTGATGACAACATGAATTTCTATGTAACAAATCCAAATGAATCTAGAGGTAAACTATTAAAATAAATATTAGACTCCAAACTGAGAGATAAAATATTAGAATAAATATTCGGCTCCTGATAGTTTTCCACATATAAGGCAACTACAGAAAATTAATAATTATCCTTTATCATAACAAAAAATCAATTAGGCAATCTAAAAAATTAGAGTTTAGGATTATGAAAATGTACCAAAGGTAGATAGTGGTGATGTTTGCACAGCAATGTGAATGTACTTAATATGCTTAAACTGTACATTAAAAATGGGTAAAATAGTCAATTTTTTGTTATGTATATTTTACCATAATGAAATAATAGAGGTTATACGTTGTTACAATAATAATTGAAAATAATAAAATGTGTAAGAACTTCACAATGAAAGCTGTAAACTTCTCCTGAAATAAGCAAACAAGAATTTAAGTGTATAATTAAATCGTGTTCATAAATAAAATGATTCAATGTCTTATGCCAATTTTCTTCATAACATATAAATTAAATGTAATTGTAATAATCATCTCAGGAGTGTTTTACAATGACTCTTGAGATGTTTTGCATAATATTCAACCTAAGAACAAGTTATTAAGAATAGCAAAGTTAATTTTGAAGTTGATGAATGTGGATGACTTATCTCATAAAATAGCAAGCTTCGTATAGTGTTAAGAATATGCAAAGTAGGGAGGGCTCCACAAGGATCCTCTGTAGAGACTGGGATAATTTAAACAGGAGGAGACTGAGTTTTAGAAACTTGGGCATATCTCAGTGGCACCAGAAGAAAAGAAATGTGGTTAGAGAGATATTGCACGTCATATATCTATTTGAGTGTGAGGACCTATAAAAACAGGGAGTTGGATCTGCTTCTGTGTGTTAAGAATTATGACCATATGAGAAGATCTGGAGCAGCACCTTATGGCAGGGTGAATAAGGAGGGAAGCAGGGAAGCATTGTGGATTTCCACCAATTGGCATTCAGAGATATGTAAATCAGGCTGGGCGTGGCAGCTCAGGCCTGTAATCCCAGCACTTTGGGAGGTTGAGGTTGGCAGATCGCTTAAGGTCAGGAGCTCAAGATCAGCCTGACCAACATGGTGAAACCCTGCCTCTACTAAAAATACAAAAATTAGCCAGGTGTGGTGGTATGCACCAGTAGTCCCATCTACTTGGGAGGCTGAGGCAGGAGAATTGGCCAGGAGGCAGAGGTTGCAGTGAGCCGAGATCAGGCCACTGCACTCCAGCCTGGGCAAGAGAGCAAGACTCCATCTCAAAAAACAAACAAACAAACAAACAAAGATATGTAAATCAATTGGGACATGGATGTCTTAGATGATGACTGAGCTGAACCATCTTGAAGGTACTTCTCAAGTACACATAATGCCAAGATCAAGGATCCCAACAGTTAGAGGTTATGGATATTATTTCCAGAAAAAAAGCTAAAGTAGGAGACAAGCAGCCAGACATGACCCAGAAAGTACATTTTCTATGATGTAGAACTTCATAGTGTTTGATATGGTTTGGCTCTGTGTCCCCACCCAAATTTCAACTTGAATTGTAATAATCCCCATGTGTCATGGGGGGTCCTGGTGGGAGGTAATTGAATCACGAGGGCAGGTTTTTCCTGTGCTGTTCTTGCAATAGTGAATACATCTCACAAGATCTGATGGTTTTATAAAGGGTGGTTCCCCTGCACATGCTCTCTTGTCTGCTTCTATGTAAGACATCACTTTGCTCTTCCTTCATCTTCTACCATGATTGTGAGGCTTCCCCAACCATGTGGAACTGGGAGTTCATTAAACCTCTTTTCTTTATAAATTACCCAGTCTTGGATAGATCATTATTAGTAGTGTTAGGTACCAAAATCTGTATTAGTCAGGGTTCTCTAGAAGGACAGGGTTAATAGGATAGCTGTATATATGAAAGGGAGTTTTTTAAGGAGTATTGACTTACAGGATCACAAGGTGAAGTCCCACAATAGGCTGTCTACAAGCTGAGGAGCAAGGAATTCAGTCTGAGTCCCAAACCTCAAAAATGAGGAAGTCAACAGCACAGCCTTTAGTCTGTGGCCAAAGGCCAGAAAGCCCCAGGCAAACCACTGGTGTAGATCTAAGAGTTCAAAAGCTGAAGAACTTGGAGTCTGATGTTTGAGGACAGGAAGCACCCAGAATGGGAGAAAGAAGGAGGCTGGAAGACTTAGGCAGTCTAGTCCTTCCTTGTTCCTCTGCCTGCTTTCATCTGAGCTGTGCTGGCACCTGATTAGATGATGCCCACTCAGACTGAGGGTCGGTCTGCCTCTCCCCATCCACCCACTGACTCAAATGTTCATCTCCTTTGGAACACCTTCACAGACACACCCAGGAGCAATACTCTGCATCCTTCAATCCTATTAAGTTGACACTCAATATTAACCATCACAGTGTCAGTTTCCCAAGGGGCCTCCAAGGAACACAAGTAAGAGGCTCACTGGGATGATAACTACATCTTGAGCATCTATGGTCAACCAAGAAAAATCTAAGATAGCAAGATAGTTAAATACTTCAATCAGCAAACAAACAAGCAAATAACTTTTTTCTTTCCTCCCTTGACTCCTTTATTTTTTTTGTCTTCTGGAAAGAACAGATGTGTGTTGAGATTTCATCCAGATTGGGAAGACATAAGAGATCATGTCAGATGTCAGCAGCTAGAGAAAAATTAAGGCATTTATACCTTCACTGAGTCCAACCCATTTAATAAACTGGTTACATAAAAAATAATACAGAGATGATACAGAATACCAAACCTTATCATTTTCTTGAAATTACTATTTTAACATTTGTAAAGTTACTCTTTCAGCAGTTTGAAAAAGATTTATTTATGTTAATAGTGTATCTTTTCAGGCAAAAACAAAATTATTTTCTCTATACCAAAAATTATAATTATTTGGTGTTACCTTGGTTAATTCTAGGCTTTGCACAAGGAGGATTGTAACAACAACTTAACAGATAAGATAAAAGCTAAACAAACAAAAATTTAACCAAAGCTCAGTGTAATAGTCTATACATAAATGATGTCACTCAATTTTCTTCTTGATAAGGAAGAAAAATCATTTTATGAGGCTTGACTACTGAAGCAAGCTTTAGGTAGATCATTAGATTAAAAATTTTGTTAATTACAGTCACTTCCAAGATGGCCAAATAGGAACAGCTCTGGTCTACAGCTCCCAGTGAGACTGACGTAGAAGACGGGTGATTTCTGCATTTCCAACTGAGGTACCTGGTTTATCTTAGTGGGTGCAGCCCACGGAGGTTGAGCCAAAGCAGGACAGGGCATTGCCTCACCCAGGAAGCACAAGGGGTCAGGATATTTCCCTTTCCTAGCCAAGGGAAGGCATGAGTGACTGTACCTGGAGGAATGGTACACTCCTGCCTAAATACTGTGCTTTTCCCATGGTCTTCACAACCAGCAGATCAGGAGATTCCCTCCTGTGCCTGATTTGGCAGGTCCCATGCCCACGGAGCCTTGCTCGCTGCTAGCACACCAGTCTGAGATCGACCTGGGACGCTGGCGCTTGGTGGGGGGAGGGGTATCCGCCATTGCTGAGGTTTGAGTAGGTGGCTCTATGCTCACAGTGTAAACAAAGCAGCAGGGAAGCTCAAACTGGGTGGAGCCCACACCAGCTCAGCAAGGCCTACTGCCTCTCTAGATTCCACCTCTGGAGGCAGGACATATCTGAACAAAAGGCAGCAGACAGCTTCTACGACTTAAACGTCCCTGTCTGACAGCTCTGAAGAGAGCAGTGGTTCTCCCAGCATGACATTTGAGCTCTAATAATGGACAGACTGCCTCCTCAAGTGGGTCCCTGACCCCCATGTAGCCTGACTGGGAGACACTTCCCAGTAGGGGCAGACCGACACCTCATACAGGCAGATGCTCCTTTGGGACGAAGCTTCCAGAGAAAAGATCAGGAAGCAATATATGCTGTTCTGCAGCCTCCACTGGTGATACCTAGGCAAACAAGGTCTGGAGTGGACCTCCAGCAAACTCCAACAGACCTGCAGCTGAGGGGCCTGTCTGTTAGAAGGAAAATGAACAAACAGAAAAGAATAGCATCAACATCAACAAAAAGGACATCAACACCAAAACCCCATCCATAGGTCAACAACATCAAAGACCAAAGGTAGATAAAACCACAAAGATGGGGAGAAACCAGAGCAGAAAGGCTGAAAATTCAAAAAATAACCAGCTAGCACCATAATGACAGGATCAAATTCACACGTAACAATATTAACCTTAAATGTAAATGGGTTAAATGCCCCAGTTAAAAGACACAGAGTGGCAAATTGGATAGAGTCAACACCCATTGGTGTGCTATATTCAGGAGACGCATCTCACGTGCAAAGACAGACATAGACTCAAAAGAAAGGAATGGAGGAAGATCTACCAAGCAAATGGAAAGCAAAAAAAAAAAAAAAAAAAAAAAAAAAGCAAGGGTTGCAATCCTGGTCTCTGATAAAACAGACTTTAAACCAACAAAACTCAAAAGAGACAAAGAAGGCCATTACATAATGGTAAAGGCATCAACTTAACAAGAAAAGCTAACTATCCTAAACATATATACACCCAATAGAGAAGCACCCAGATTCATAAAGCAAGTTCTTAGAGACCTACAAAGAGACTTAGACTCCCACACAATAACAACGGGAGACTTTAACACCCTACTGTCAATATTAGACAGTTCAATGAGACAAAAACTTAACAATGATATCCAGGACTTGATCTCAGCTCTGGACCAAGTGGATCTAATAGACATCTACATCTACAGAACTTTCCACCACATATCAACAGAATATACATTCTTCTCAGCACCACATCACACTTATTCTAAAATTGACCACATAATTGAAGTAAAACAATCTTCAGCAAATGCAAAAGAACGGAAATCATAACAAATTGTCTGTCAGACGACAGTGCAATCAAATTAGAACTCAGGATTAAGTAATTCAATCAAAACTGCACAACTACATGGAAACTGAACAACCTGCTCCTGGATGACTACTGGGTAAATAACGAAATGAAGGCAGAAATAAAAATGTTCTTTGAAAGCAATAAGAACAAAGACACAATGTACCAGAATCTCTGGGACACATTTAAAGTGGTGTGTAGAGGGAAATTTATAGCACTAAATGCCCACAAGAGAAAGTAGGAAAAGTCTAACATCAACATCCTGACATCACAATGAAAAGAACTAGAGAAGTAGGAGCATACAAATCCAAAAGCTAGCAGAAGAAAAGAAATAACTAAGATCAGAGCAGAACTGAAGGAGATAGAGACACAAAAAAACCCTTCAAAAAATCAATGAATCCAGGAACTGTTTTTTTGAAAAGATCAACAAAATAGATAGACCCCTAGCAAGACTAATAAAGAAGAAAAGAGAGAAGAATCAAATAAAGGCAATAAAAAATGATAAAGGGGATATTACCACTAATCCCACAGAAATACAAACTACCATCAGAGAATACTATAAACACCTCTTTGCAAATAAACTAGAAAATCTAGAAGAAATGGATAAATTCCTGGACACAAACACCCTCCTAAGACTAAATCAGGAAGAATTTGAACCTCTGAATAGATCAATAACAGGTTCTGAAATTGAGGCAATAATTAACAGCCTAAAACTAAAAAAAGTCCAGGACCACATGGATTCACAGGCAAATGCTATCAGAGGTACAAAGAGGAGCTGGTACCATTCCTTCTGAAACTATTCCAATCAATAGAAAAAGAAGGAATCCTCCATATCTCATTTTATGAGGCCAGCATCATCCTGATACCAAAGCCTGGCAGCGACACAACAAAAAGAGAATTTTAGTCCAATATCCCTGATGAACATCGACGGGAAAATCCTCAATAAAATACTGGCAAACTGAATTCATCAGCACATCAAAAAGCTTATCCACCACGATGACGTCAGCTTCATCCCTGGGATGCAAGGTTGGTTCAATATACGCAAATCAATAAACGTAATCCATCACATAAACAGAACCAACAACAGAAGCCACATGATTATCTCAATAGATGCAGAAAAGGCCTTCGACAAAATTCAACAGCTTTTCATGCTAAAAACTCTCAATAAACTAGGTATCAATGGAATGTATCTCAAAATAATAAGAGCTATTTATGACAAACCCACAGCCAATATCATACTGAGTGGGCAAAAGCTGGAAGCATTACCTTTGAAAACTGGCACAAGACAAGGATGCCCTCTCTCATCACTCATATTCAACATATTGTTGGAAGTTCTGGCCAGGGCAATCAGGCAGGAGAAAGAAATAAAATGCATTCAATTAGGAAAAGAGGAAGTCAAATTGTCTCTGTTTCCAGATGACATGACTGTATATTTAGAAAACCCCATCGTCTCAGCCCAAAATCTCCTTAAGCTGATAAGCAGCTTCAGCAAAGTCTCACCATACAAAATCAATGTGCAGAAATCACAAGCATTCCTATACACCAATAACAGACAAACAGAGAGCCAAATCAGGAGTGAACTTCCATTCACAATTACTACAAAGAGAATAAAATACCTAGGAATCCAACTTACAAGGGATGTGAAGGACATCTTCAAGAGAACTACAAACCACTGCTCAGCAAAATAAAAGAGTACACAAACAAATGGAAGAACATTCCAGGACCATTCAGGACATAGGCATGGGCAAGGACCTCAGGTCTAAAACACCAAAAGCAATGGCAACAAAAGCCAAAATTGACAAATGGGATCCAATTAAACTAAAGAGCTTCTGTACAGCAAAATAAACTACCATCAGAGTGAACAGGCAACCTACAAAATGGGAGAAAATTTTTGCAACCTACTCATCTGACAAAGGGCTAATATCCAAAATCTACAATGAACTCAAACAAATTTACAAGAAAAAAACAAACAACCCCATCAAAAAGTGGGCGAAGGACATGAACAGACACTTCTCAAAAGAAGTCATTTATGCAGCCAAAAAACACATGAAAAAATGCTCACCATCACTGGCCATCAGAGAAATGCAAATCAAAACCACAATGAGATAGCATCTCACACCAGTTAGAATGGCAATCATTCAAGAGTCAGGAAACAACAGGTGCTGGAGAGGATGTGGAGAAATAGGAACACTTTTACACTGTTGGTGGGACTGTAAACTAGTTCAACCCTTGTGGAAGTCAGTGTGGCAATTCCTCAGGGATCTAGAACTAGAAATACCATTTGACCCAGCCATCTCATTACTGGGTATATACCCAAAGGATTATAAATCATGCTGCTATAAAGACACATGCACACGTATGTTTATTGCGGCACTATTCACAATAGCAAAGACTTGGAACCAACCCAAATGTCCAACAATGATAGACTGGATTAAGAAAATGTGGCATATATACACCATGGAATACTATGCAGCCATAAAAAATGATGAGTTCATGTCCTTTGTAGGGACATGGATGAAATTGGAAATCATCATTCTCAGTAAACTATCGCAAGAACAAAAAACCAAACACCGCATATTCTCACTCATAGGTGGGAATTGAGCAATGAGAACACATGGACACAGGAAGGGGAACATCACACTCTGGGGACTGTTGTGGGGTAGGGGGAGGGGGGAGGGATATCTTTAGGAGATATACCTGATGCTAAATGACGAGTTAATGGGTGCAGCACACCAGCATGACACATGTATACATATGTAACTAACCTGCACATTGTGCACGTGTACCCTAAAACTTAAAGTATAATAATAAAAAAAAAGAACATTCCATGCTCATGGATATGAAGAATCAATATCGTGAAAATGGCCATACTGCCCAAGGTAATTTATAGATTCAATGCTATCCCCATCAAGCTTCCACTGACTTTCTTCACAGAATTGGAAAAAAACTACTTTATGTTTTATAGGGAACCCAAAAGGAGCCCATATATCCAAGACAATCCTAAGCAAAAAGAACAAAGCTGGAGGCATCACGCTACCTGACTTCAAACTATACTACAAGGCTACAGTAAATGAAACAGCATTGTACAGGTACCAAAAGAGATATACAGACCAATGGAACAGATGGAACAGAACAGAGGCCTCAGAAATAACACCACACATCTACAACCATCTGTTCTTTGACAAACCTGACAAAAAAAGGCAATGGGGATAGGAATCCTTTTTAATAAATGGTGCTGGGAAAACTGGGTAGACATATGTAGAAAGCTGAAACTGGATCCCTTCTTTACATCTTATACAAAAATTAACTCAAGATAGATAAAAGACTTAAATGTAAGACGTAAAACCATAAAAACCCTAGAAGAAAACCTAGGCAATACCATTCATGACATAGACATGGGCAAAGACTTCATGTCTAAAACACCAAAATCAATGGCAACAAAAGCCGAAATGGACAAATGGGATCTGTTTAAACCAAAGAACTTCTGCACAACAAAAGAAACTATCAACAGAGTGAAAAGGCAACCAACAGAATGGGAGAAAATTTTTGCAATCTATCCATCTGACAAATGGCTAATATCCAAAATCTACAAAGAACTTAAACAAATTTATAAGAAAAAAACAAACAACCCCATCAAAAAGTGGGCAAAGGATATGAACAGACACTTCTCAAAAGAAGACATTTATGCAGCCAACAGACATATGAAAAAATGCTCATCATCACTGGTCATCAGAGAAATGCAAATCAAAACCACAATGAGATACCATCTCATGCCAGTTAGAATGGCGATCATTAAAATGTCAGGAAATTACAGATGCTGGAGAGGATGTGGAGAAATAGGAACACTTTCAAACTGTTGGTGGGAGTGTAAATTAGATCAACCATTGTGGAAGGCAATGTGGCGATTCTTCAAGGATCTAGAACTAGAAATACCATTTGACCCAGCAATCCCATTACTGCGTTTATACCCAAAGGATTATAAATCATGCTACTATAAAGACACATGTACACGTATGTTTATTGCAGCACTATTCACAATAGCAAAGACTTGGAACCAACCCAAATGTCCATCAATAATAGACTGGATAAAGAAAATGTAGCACATATACACCATGGAATACTATGCAGCCATAAAAAAGGATGAGTTCCTGTCCTTTGCAGGGACATGGATGAAGCTGGAAACCATCATTCTCAGCAAAACATCACAAGGACAGAAAACCAAACACCATGTGTTCTCACTCATAAACGGGAGTTGAACAAAGAGAACACATGGATACAGGAAGGGGAACATCACACACCAGGGCCTGCTGGGGGGTATGAGGTTGGGAGAGGGATAGCGTTAGGAAAAATACCTAATGTAAATGATGAGTTGATGGATGCAGCAAACCAACATGGCACATGTATACCTATGTAACAAACATGCACGTTGTGCACATGTACCCTAGTATAATAAAAAAATTTTAAAAAAGAAATAAACCAATTTTACCAACACACTTGCAGTTTAAAACAAAAATAAAACACAGTAAAAGAAGAAGCTTCCAAATTAAAAGCATATATTTGTGATTTCTATTTATTTAGAAAATGCAAGAGGACAACACCCACAAAAAAATAAAAATAAAAATAAAATAAAACTCTTAGTATTTAGTTACATCTAAAAAATTATGTTAATTATAACAATATAGTATTATATTAGGTTAATAAGGTTCATTGTAACATATTTTTATTATAAATTTATGTTTATTTGTGGTAGGTGTTTAGGTTGCTGGCTCAATTATTTAACAGTACTCTTTTCTGTTTTTTTAATAATGAATTTTAAATCTCTTTTCTGATCCTGATAAATATGCTATTTACTCACTTGGTTTTATTCCTTCTTTTACTCTTTACGGCTATTTTATTGGTATATTAGAGACAGAGGCAATGAATAGGGCTGATTTATATACAACATTTAACCAAAAATCTAGTAATTAAAAAATAAATTCCATTGTTTTAAAGGAACACTTAGCATAAAATTTTAAAAAGTAGAAATAAGACCACAAAACCTTTTCCAAAATTCCAATATCTATAGACAACTACTGAAATTCTTATATATTTACTTTCAGACTTTTTCTTTCTATTCATACATACTTGGATACTTTATATCCAAGTCTGTATTCTTTTATTTTCATATATCATTATATCAACAGAATTTTCAAACTTTGTTATCAAGTC
Organism: Homo sapiens; assembly: GCF_000001405.40. Taxonomy (NCBI): domain Eukaryota; kingdom Metazoa; phylum Chordata; class Mammalia; order Primates; family Hominidae; genus Homo; species Homo sapiens. The sequence goes on from NC_000001.11 coordinate 238,907,160, forward strand.
TTTATAAGCACAATTTCACTAATCCATAAGTATATGAATTACATTTTTTCTCTACAAAATTGTATTGGTTTCTCTTGTTTGAAAGTCTGTGCATAAGCTTACACTCCAAGTTTATGTCTTCAGTCTAAACTTCCTTTCTGAATTCTAGTTTCATATAATCAACAGCATATTTGATATCTACAATGAGTCATCTAACATTTAAAGTACCCAAAATGTAACTGACAACTTTTCTCCAAAGTATGCTCTCTTGTTCTTATTTCAGAATAGGAAACCACTACAACACTGAAGAAAGCTAAAACCGAGGGCATTATATCATCCTTTCTCACACACACGTCCAAGTTCTGTTTTATCTGAAAAGAATATCTATAGTCTGTGCATTTCTCTCTATCTGTGGCAACCATTACCTAATCATCATTTCCTTCATGGACTACTGTAATAACTTTCTAAATGTTCCACAATTACTTTAGCATTTACGGTACTTTATTTAAGATGTTACTCTGTGATAAAACCGTTCAGTGTTCCTCATTGTACCCAGCATAAAACAATATGATCAACAAAGTCCTTTAAATATCTGACTTATATTTCTAGTATCATCTTTTGCCTCTCTTCTCCTCGATTCATATATTCTTTCAGTTTAGAATGTCAAGTTCTTTCACAGCTTAGTACCTTTGCCAGTGTTTCCACCGATTCTCTTCTCTTTGCACGGGTTTTGGATTGCAAGCTTCAAGCCTAAACTTAACTCTCTTACCATCTTACTGTCTTCAGAGAACTTTTATTATTAAAATTCCATGTTTCTGTATCCTCTAGCGCTTACCCAAATTTCTGTGCTATACAGTTTGATTTCTTCTTTAGCTTTCAATGTAAATGTTGCTTATTTCTTTCCTATTTGATGTTCTTGTGTATTTTTTAGAAAGTTGGTTGAGGTTTCTGCATTGTGTCATCTTGTTATTTTATTAGGGATTTTAACTCTGAGTGTGTGAAGAGTTGACCTACAAGCAGAGATCAATGACAAGGAGGCAAGGGCTGAAAGTAACCAGCTCTTCTGAAATTCTGCTGCACCAATATATGATACTATCATTTAGCATTTAACATTCTCTGCTTCGTCACAGAATCAGATATTCTTTAAAATCAGATGCGACTATGAATAAGTTTTTAAAAATCAGTTGAAATCTTAAAAGGCAGAGAGTCCAATGCCTCCATTTTATAGAAAGGAAAAATTAAACTTAGACTCTGAAATATTAGGTGCATATAAATATGTTTTTATGGATCATCTACTCAATGGATAGAGTTGTATAGTACAGTACAAGCTAGAGTACAATGTTGTGTACTCTAGATTCAGCATCTACTGCATGCATTATTTACAGTAATACAAATTTAGCCTAATTGGTCTCCTTACAAATTTACTTTTCTTGCTTATCAGGCACAAAAACATTTAACTCTCTAACTAATGAGTGTATCCTAATCTTATCTCACCTGTAAATATTCAGATTAAGCTAAATATATTTATTTAGGAAAGATAAACTATTAGGTCACCAGTAGAATTATAATTTGGAAGCATAATAATGAAAGTGAGATGCATTGTAATTAAAAACTAGCTGTAATTCTGAATTAAAGAAAGTGGCCCTCTTTTTCCAGCTGTGCCATTAAGTAAATAGTGTTGTGGTTTGGAGTAAATGATTTAATCTCCTTTGTCTTCATTTTCCTCATTTGCGAAATTTCTAAGCTGAGTAAGATCTGGCCAGTCCTTTTTCCTTCAAACTCAAATTTCTCCTTAGGTAAGTTTGGTATAATGAAGTACTTTTAATATAATCAGATTTATTGTTTAGAAACAAATATGGCTTTTCCAGAATGGTGCATAGTTTCAACTCAATGTGATATTGTGATACTTTTTATTTCTTTAAGAATATTTTTATTTATTTCTAAGAATTTTTCATTGTTTTAGATACATTTTCCAGAATACAAGTATCTTTTTGGGACATCATTCTAAAACACCTGAATAAAAACCACTCTAATACACAATTGCAGTTCTCAAATCAGCCATTTCAAAACGTTGATTCAATAGTATACAGATCCAAAATAAATGCAATGTCTTCTAAATACATATTGAAATACTTCCTAATAATTTTTATTTATGGTATGTGTAATAAGGAATAAAATAAAAATAGCACTAGGAATTCAAAAGAAAGTAGTATATACATTAAAATCAAGGCTGAAATTCATACTTGCTCAATATATTAGGCCAGCAATAACATTTGAAAATCATCTCTAAAATCCAGGGCCTGACATAAATTATAAGGAACATACGATAGCATTTTAAAATACGGCTATTCAGTAAGAGTAAATTTGAATTTTCAAAACAGTCATTCAATAAATATGTGCTAATCTCAATACTAAGTACCAGACATTAGACTCAGCAGTTAGTGATGGCCAACACAGATTTCTGCCCCCATGGAATTTGTAATCTACATGTGCAATATAAATGCTAAGGTTATAAAAGTAGAATGTCCTGTTGGGGTATATGAGAGAGAAATCACATTCACTCATGAGGGATCAGGATAAAATAAAGAACTGACAAGTGGGTGAAGGAAGACAGGTGATACTGGTGGTACAAGTGGCCAATGAGAAATCTTAGTAGAAAAAACAAAAACCAAAACCCATGTCATGATTGAACACTTCCAAGAAATCCAATATGGTGCTTGCAAAATGTAAAGGTAAGAGAAGAGAAGAAATATATATACAGCGGCTGGGTGCGGTGGCTCACACCTGTAATCCCAGCACTTTGGGAGGCTGAGGCAGGTGGATCACGAGGTCAGGAGTTCAAGACCAGCCTGGCCAGCATAGTGAAACCCTGTTTCTACTAAAAATACAAAAAAATTAGCCAGGCTTGGTGGCTATAATCCCAGTTACTTGGGAGGCTGAGACAGAGAATTGCTTGAACTTGGGAGGTGGAGGTTGCAGTGAGTTGAGATTGCGCCACTACACTCCAGCCTGGGCGACAGAGCAAGACTCCATCTTAAAAAAAAAAAAAAAAGAAAAGAAAAAAAAAAGAAAAAGAAAAGAAAGAAAGAAATATATATAAAGCAGTGATTCTGAATCTTCAGCCCCTGGTCTAGCAGCACCAGCATTGACATAAATATCACCTTTGTGTCTTCCATGTAATAGATTAGTGATAAAGACTTATTAACTATCTTTAAAATCAAAAGTGTGCCTAAAATAAATTAAAAATGACATTCTTTTTCTATAGCCTGTATATATTTGAACACCTCTGACAGATTTTTTTTTTCTTGTGGTAAAATGCAAAGATAAGTTTTCACCATCATCATCATCACTATTACTTTAACGTGTAAATCTGTAGACAACGTTGTGAGGAAATGTAAAGAACAAAAAACTTGTTTCAAGTAAGGGTATAGCCTAGTAAAAGTCTGTGTTTTTAAAGAGTGGATTATTAAAGATAGCCCAAGAATAGGACATATTTTAAAAAATGTTTAAGATAATCTATTTTCTAAAAACAAACTTATTTATAATCAATGAAAATGACCACATTTTTAGTAATAAACACAACCAATAAATTTCAATGTTTCTCAAGCAATTTTTTAAAATTATATGGATCCACATGGTGTCTAACCTTGATATGACAAATTAGTTAATCAAAATGTCTGTCTTTGCCCATGTATGTGTGTGTGTGATAGAGTAGGAAGAGGAAAATAGAGAGAGAGGAACGGTGGAGAATAAAAAAAAAAATCAGTGTGTTGAAATCAACATAAGGAAAGGTTGAACCACACATTTCAGGAAGCTAGCAATTCCTTCTCATTGATGCAAGTAGACACCTGATGGTCCTTCATGCACATTATTCATTGACATGTCAAGGGACATACAAGAAATAATTTTTAAATGGGCCAGGGAAACATTTTCTGCAATGTGACTTGCACGTTTCACACCATTTTATAATAACACTTTTAGCAAAAATTGAAGGTACTTAATATAGTCTCTAATAGTTTATTTTAAATATAATTGAAAATAAAGTACATACACCATGGGAACTAGGACTTAGACTGCATTTCATTTATAATGTTTTAATGTAGAAATAAATAGAAAGGAGCTAAGAAGTGTTATTATTACTTGGGTAGAGAAAAAGGGAACTGTTGAATTTTTTATTCTTGTCAAACTCTATGACAAAACATATAACAACGGCATGCTAATAACCTCCCTGATCATGGCGAGTAACAGCATTAATG